>NW_025791780.1:300000-383128 GCF_000001405.40 Homo sapiens
CGCGCCGCTTTCACAGCTCAGAGAAACATGGTGAGCACAGTGCTCCCTTCTAAGTGACGGGAGCTTCGAGATACAACAATGAGACTTTACTTTGGAGGAAATGTCTCAGAATTTCACAGATCCTAAAAACTTTCATTCACGAACCAGGTCGATGAATGGTTTCTGTGTTTCTCTCCCACCCTCTGGAGCATGCAGGGCTTAACAAAATCTGCAACTTACTTGACACTTCTTGCTCATCGAAGATTTAAATGATACTATCAATACAGTGTACCAATGTTTTGCTGTTGGTGCAGACAGTTCAATTCTCTTTGGACTAGATTAGGAAAAATTGGGGGACTTGGTATACCTCTGGAGTAAGAACATAAATGCATACTTTTGTCTAGTCCATGTGAATATGAACTGTTTCTGTTCTTTCTTCCTGATAACAATAGAAAAAATGCATTCCCCAAATCAAAGACTGCATGCCAAAGACCTTGCAATTTTTGCTTTTATGTTCATATTGTTTATAACATGATTAATTTATTAACTTTACATTCCAATTCTATTTTCTTATGTATTCAAGTGAAAAGTGTTAATTATGAGAAATTCTGCACTATGGCACTGCTAATATTGCAATCTATATCCCAGACTTCGTTTTACCGACAGAAGAAAGCATACCCTCATCAATTTGTCATGTCTTCGGAAGAAGGGACATGGGTTTGTAGTGGAATTCATGACTTTTTCTGCCTGAACATTAATTAGCAGAAGCATGCTCCATTTCTTTATATAGACCCACTCTTAGAACCAAGGTGAACTGAGTGAAAAAGATACTTGCCTTTATATTTCTCTTATCAAACTAACCATTCTTGAATCTACCTTTATCACTTTTCTCCCAGGACCTCCTAGTGGAAGAAACTGTGAAAATGGCTGGTGTCACTTCAGACGCAAAAGGAAAAGTGGCACATCATGTTCAGAATCCGATTAAATAGTGTCAGCAATTATTACCTCTGCTTAAAGGATTCAGAGCTGAGTTTGTTCAGCTACCCTGCCCTGACTAATGGCATCATGCAGGTGTACTTAGAAGTAAATTTAAAACTCCCCCTTACTTTAGGATCACACATCTCCTAGGGTAATTGCAGGAGTGATTGGGAAAGAGCAGTCTACTCTGAGGAGGTCAGATGGAGACCAAGTGAATCCTGTAAAATACAAGTAGTGTCATATGACAAAAATGCAAATCCAACACTACTAAGTCTTGGATTTCTTCTTTGTTTCCTTGATTAATTTTCTTGCTTCGCTCCAAAAATCATAGCATAAAGCAAATTATTGTTCTACCTATTGCTTTCCACTTTACTCATCTTTCATCTGGTGTCTGTGTGATTATGTCTCCATTAGAGACTGAGACCTGTTATTACCTATTAAATCCCTTCATTCCAGGATGTGGAACTAATTAGATAAGTTTCAGATTGTTGAATTTAGTGGTTATTTTAGAGGTAATTAGATCGTTAAATTTAACACTTGTAGCTCCACATGATGATGGAGTGCAAATATCTATTTATTCATAAATATCCATAGGCAGGGATCAGAACCAACATTGAGAAGACCCACTCCCTCCAAACAAGACGACCAAGAAAACAAATTGATTCTACTACCTTGGATTTATTAAACTTGCTGAGCAAAGAGCCGTACCTCTATGGAGTCCCAGTACTGCCTAAAACAAGGGTGAGTCAGAGACCAGAATTTAAAGGGTCTGGGGACTGGAGCTATTCATAGGACACTTTTAGGGGGAAGGTTAGTAAGGTCCTTCTCAGGAGGGACTGGACAGAATTTCTTTTTCTTTTTCTTTTCTTTTCTTTTTTTTTTTTTTTTTTTTTTTTGAGACGGAGTCTTGCTCTGTCGTCCCGGCTAGAGTGCAGTGGCGCGATCTCGGCTCACTGCAAGCTCCGCCTCCCGAGTTCACGCCATTCTCCTGCCTCAGCCTCCCGAGTAGCTGGGACTACAGGCGCCCGCCACCACGCCCGGCTAATTTTTTTTGTATCTTTAGTAGAGACGGAGTTTCACCGTGTTAGCCAGGATGGTCTCGGTCTCCTGACCTTGTGATCCGCCCGCCTCGGCCTCCGAAAGTGCTGGGATTACAGACGTGAGCCACCGCGCACGGCCAGAATTTCTAAACTAGGCGAATCATAGGTTTATTCAGTGGAACTTAGCTGCTGGAACATGAAGATCTGCGCAGAGTTGCTGGATCCGTTTGGCTTTGGTCTTATCTTGGATCATCGGGTCTGAGTAAGCTGGTGTTAAAACAATTTGAGCTTAGTGTGGTATGGCAGGGTTTGTAGACTCGTCCTGTGCTGTAAGTCACAGGGCTTTTGCAACTTCTGTGTTTGTTCATTTCTCAATTTGCCCTCTTTCCTCACCAACAGAACTGCCCAAGAAATCAACTTACAGTATAGCTACTGGAACTTAGCTCCGAAAAGGTCCTCTGCAAATCTAGAACACTTGTTTTTTTGTTTTTTTGTTTTTTTTCCAAATAAGAAAGTTGAAGAGCAAAACGACGTGTCTAACGTCACACATTGAGCTTTAAAGACAGATGGGATCTGGCATGCGTTTGTCAGTTAACAGTGCTAGCACAAATACAACTCTTGTTAAAATCGTAAGGATTTTATGTCGTGAGACACTCAGGACTCACCTGATCTCGGTGTTCAGTTGTGCGTAGTTTTTGATTTGCGCCTCGCCCTTGGGCAAGTGCAGAATCCTGGGGTTATACAAAGCGCATCACAGTTAACCCCTTTGTCCCAGTCCGCAGAATGAGAGCTCAGAGCCCGGCCATGGGAGGCTCGGTTATATAGGCAGGAAAATCAAGGAACCCAGGTATGAGCAGGGGCGTTTGTGGCGCGGAGAGAGCTCCTATCCCTGCCGTCCATCTACGTCTCAGGCTTGGCCCCTGGCGTGCAGAAAACCGCATCTCCCGAAATCCCAGAACGTAAACGTCACCCAGGTACTCGCTCTCTTGTCATTCTCCGGGATGTAACAGACTCGGGGTCTCTTCACGGATCACCGAAACCGCCTTCTCCGAGGCCTCCAGGGTGACTAAAGAGAGGGTTGGTGTTCTGTGTTCTCCCGCCGGTGTGTTCCTCTTCACGTCCAGCCGCTTGTGTCCGTGCCCGCTAGGGTCTCGGGAGTTTTTATAGGCACAGGATGGGGGCGTGGCGGGCCAGGGTGGTCTTGGGAAATGCAACATTTGGCCGCGGAGGAAGGAGTGCCCGTCCTCACCTAGATCCATGGGCACAGGCCCGGCGGCGGAGCCCTGCTCCCCTCCCTTATCAGTACCGCGGTTAGTGCTCTGCTTTATGGCCGCAGCAATCTCAGACACTTTCGGAGCGTGTTTTTTTTTCTTGTCCTTTCGCTCCCCTTTTCGGGCGCCAGCTTTCAAACCAGACCAAAGGTGTGCTTTTCCCCCATTATCTCCCAGCCTTCTTTCCTTTTCGCCTCTACTCAAGACTGTGTCCACAATTAAGCTCTCAGGAGGAGGAGGCCTCCAGCTGCCTCAAGGAAGGGCATTTCTCGCAGTGCAAAGTGCGGAAGAGGGGAGCCATACCGACTGAAGTATTAACCAGAGTCGGTTTGCATAGAGGCTGCAATGGATAGAATTTCAGAAGTGAGGCGGAAAGACAGGCCAGCCCTGCGAAAGATGGATTGGAGAGAGGTGAGAATCTAGTTCAAAAGCCGGGAGAAGGAACAGGACATTAGCACAATAGTCTAGGCAGAGAGCTGGACCACCTGTAATACGGCAAGGGGGTTGGTTGAGATTTCCTTTATTCAGTTATTCGAAATGTATCTATTGAGCTATTTATTAGTCCCTGGGTACTGTGGGTGTTCCTGCGTATTCAACCACCTTGTCGACGCTGCAGGATGCGGCCCCATTACCCAGGACCCAAAGAACTTCCAAAAATGAATCCCGAGGAACAGCTGTTTCTCTACTGGAGAAGTGGGCAGCCAGGCGGAAACACGCAGGGAAATAGTTCTCTTTGGGACAGAAGGCATCAACCTCGTAAGACCCAGCGATCAGCAGAGCTCCCGGAGAGTGTTTCTTAATCTAAAGGTCATGAGTCGGGCTGCAAAGTTGTCTTGTCGTGCGTAAAATACCAATGGACTTATACCTGTTTCATCGAGAAGGAATACAATGCGAACACAAAGACTGTAATGGAACGTATTTCTCTAAAGTGTCCTTTTCAGATAGAAATACGAGAGCGTTTTCCTGAGTTTTCTAAAAATGGGGTGGGGTAGGGATCAAATACTCACTTCTGGGAAACATGGGCGAATTCAGTGGGAATCGTGCTAGAAGTTACGAGCAGAGGAGCCTGGGTGGGGACTTATACTGGCCTTGACGGCCCGTGGAAAGGAACTGGCGGCAATTCCTTCCGTTTTCCGTCAATTTCTTCACGGGTCGCTCAGAAGCTACGGAAGCAAAGTAGAAAGGAGTGATAGGGACAGGCCACAGTACCGGCGGACGGTGATGGCGTTGCGTTTAAAAGGGTGGTCACTGAAACCCTTTGTCGTGAAACACTGAAGCAGGTGACATTTGAACTTTCCTTCCGCAGAATTGTATTTTAACTGAAATTTCCAGGTTAGAAGAAATTTGCCGAGGATCGTAACCAAGTTAGCAAAGATCGTAGGTTCTTTCCAACTCCAAGAACTTCAGAAAAGTTTCTTTGGTGATTGGAATAACGTTCGCCTTTAAACTTCTCAAGAGAGGTAGGGTCCGTTCCGCCGGCGGGGCCGGTTAGCTCAGTTGGTCAGAGCGTGGTGCTAATAACGCCAAGGTCGCGGGTTCGATCCCCGTACGGGCCACAGGCTTTTCTAATGTTTATTTCACGGGCCACAGGCTTTTCTAATGTTTATTTCACAGTAACAATTATGTGTAGCCACGTCAAAGCTCACAAGAGAAAAAGAATGTAAATGTGTGTGAACCCAGCAATCTACACAGACTTCTAATGCTTGTCTCACAGTAGCAACTGTGGGCAGTGATACAGAAAGTCACAAGAGAACTCACGAAAGTAAATGTATTTGTACCCAGTAACCTTGATAGGACGTAGTTCGCTGAATCGTAGGGTTGCGTTTGCAGTTCAGTGTTCCTGCAAGAGCAGATGACGAAGAGAGCTAAGATTCCAGAAAGAAATTGAAATCCGGGAGGAACGTGAAAAACAGAGACGAAAACACGGAAATAAGGACCTGGGCTTTTCATTCTTTTACGATTTCCAAAGTGTACAAATCTTTCTCTGTCGTGACTAACTCCTGATATGGGCTTTCCTAACTGTGCATCTGCTTACTTCCCGCAGACCTGTCCTTGGCTTGTGCAGGGTAAGTAAAGCCTCTCAAGAACTCCCATTTTTCATTTCTATTTCCTCTCTTTTAGCTTCCCTCACTCAACTCTAGAGATACTGGACTTAAGGAAATGTCCCCATAGAACGCTGAGCCTTTCACCTCCTCTTTGCTCGTCTCACGGCTTTGTTAGACACGAAACCATCTTCTGGAAAATGTCTTCCCTGACACCTCTCCTACTTTTCTGAGTTTGGGTTGCTTTCCTCCTAGCACTCACGGAGATCCAGGTACGCATTTGTTTTAGCGGCATTCACCATGTTGGGATTGTCTGTTGCTTGGCCATCTTCTCCATGAGACCATAAGCTTCTTGGGGGTAGGATGCTTATTGCTAAATACTTTCAAAAGTCTGCATGAGCCAATGAAGAGTGAAGGATAGGTGTGCAGGCATGATGGAAAGAGTGTCTTGTGGTCCAAATGGGCTTCACGGGTCTGTAGAATCCATGCTATCGCAACATAGTGCATTTTGGTCAGACGAACAATAGGCTACACTATATGGTGATTGGCTCCATTTCACTGAACGTACCTCTAAGGCTCTGAGTGGCTCTATATGCCCCCCAGGACTGGATAGTGGTAAAGGACAGAGCATGCGCAATAGATCCAAAGTCAGGCAAGGTCTGAAATGTTTAACTTTGCTGAGGCTGAGAGACAGGAATGAACCCTCTTCCGCGATGGGAATTTCTACTCCACTGATCCATAGTAAATAAAACAGCGAGCCAATGCACCTCAAACCTCTATTTTCTATTACATTAATGTGATTGGTTTTGACATTTTCAAAATTCAAGTGATCACAATGATTTAGAACTAATGTTTACAAAACTATAATTTAGGAAATCCTTAGCTGTAAGCAGACACACCTACACAGAATAAAGAGAGTGATATGCCCTTTACTTCAGTGTCATTTATAACACTGGGGTAATAATACTTGGGGAAGCTGAAAAACTATATTGACCGACTTACGTAAAAATTAAGAAACATTCAGTATAATTTCTAGCACATAGTGCTGAAAACCTCCTTGTATGTGGAATATTGTTCACCTTTAAGGAAAATGCTTTCAAGGTCTGAGGAGAGATAGTAACGCATTTCTGTTGCTACTGGCTGTTTTGCTCATTTAGTTGTAGCAACAAGCTTCTGTGAACATAAAAATGAAATAACGCTTAAAAAAACAAAATAGATGGTGGAGGAACACAATAGGGATGCAAAGTAAGGTATGATTTTCTAGGCAAAAATTGAGCTGTACAAAATAATGTAGTAAAGGATTTGTGCCTGATTCTTTTTTGTATCCCCTTTGAAGCTTATTTAGCTTATATTCCAAGGCCTCAATTGTCATCCTTCTCCCAACAAGACTGTTTCTCTGTACCACGAACATTCTGGTGAAATTCTCTGCTTAAGCATCTTGACCTCTTGAGCACTCATCTTTGTACTGAGACCCCGATATATGCCCAAATGATGCCCTTCCATAGGAGGGTTTCTTGTTTTGCCCAAAGAGCAATCAATTTTTCAAGCAATTTAGGGCTCTTTCCTCACTCGGGGTCTATGTGAAACCTTAGAGGGAAGCCTGTTCTTTCCAGGAAGAGAATCCCGGTGGGTTCTAACCTCAACCTGTAAATCCACTAAGCAAGCTCCTACTGAACACCTATGATGCAAGCTCAATCCAAGAGGCCAGCACGCTGCAAGGGGAAGGCAACCAAAGCAATAGGTAATGCTTACTGAGCAGTTCTTATTGATCAGATCCCTCTCTAGGTGCTGGGATCCAGCCAGAGAATCCCACAGTCCTCATTTCCTACGTGAAGAAAGATGATTGAAGGAAGGAGCAGGAGTGGGGAGTGGGGAGGGGGTGGAGGGTGGGTAAAGGATGTCTTCAAGGTGACAACTTCTCAGATTCCGCTCCTAAAAGCTTCTGAATGGGCCATCTCCACACTCCCAAGTCCCTTACTGCCTGTGGATTCCTTCCCAGTAGACGTTGTCACATAACATCTTATGTATTTTTCTTGTTTGCTTCTGATCTGTTTCTCTTCACCCCTATCAACTAGAAACTAGCTTCGCAAAGGTGAAGAATATATGCGTTTTTTCACTGTTGAATGGCTGTACCCCGAACAGTCTCTTAACAAGATACGTGCTCGAGAAATACATGTAGGATAAAAGAATAAATGACTTCACCCACTCACCTCATAATTACAATTGGGTAACCTTGAGAGCAGAAAGCTCGACAAAAAATTTCCTGTTTCTTCCATCAGCTAGTGAGAAAGACCAATTATATGATATAGCTTGCAGTTTCTTCTGTAATCTATATCCCTTTACCACTCATTTTACTCAAACCACTGACAAGCCAAAAAACAAACAAACAACAACAAAAAATCTCCAAAAAACCGAAATCACTTTTCCATTCTAAGCTAATGTTGAGTCAGTCTTCAAACTGTTATCTCATAGCATTTGCATTTCATTATTTAGTGCACCCATTTTGTTTCCCTCAACTGAAATAGCAGCAAAAACTGTATCCTCTCTGATGTTCAAACTCAAAACCTTTAGATTATGAGATTGATGTGTGGCCTGCTGCAGAAAGAGGGCGGTTCTCACCCAAGAATTGACATCCCACGTGCTATTTTCCCAAGCACTGCTGCTTTATCAGTTCCTAACTTTCAAAGAACACAATCAATGGTGCTTGGAAATCACTCTTTATCAGCCAATCCTGCACCCAAAGAATTTTATCCTCAGGACAGGTGGAATCTACCCATTTCTAGTATTCATCTAACAAGACGACCATCTTGAGGCAAGAGGCCAAGAACAATTGTACCTGTTTTGCTGACTTTTTCCCTCTTGTGGCCCAGTGATCTGACTTCTCCCTCCTTCAGAGATCTTAATCACTCTTACACCTCCTATGGTGTCCTTTTTTGAAAAGACACACAGGACATGTTCAGTCCATAATAGTTCACTGACTGACCAACTGAACGAATGAAGGAATGAAAAAATAGTCTTTAAAGGTGTCTCCTGTCCATACTACTGTGTCTTACTCTCTATCTCCTCTTGCATCTACACGACTGGAGACAATCCTGCTACAAAAAGTGTAAAGCAAATCTTGTATGCCATTAATTATACTAAGAGATTTATTGAATTTACTTCATGTAGTCCAACAGAGTTTCACCAACAAAACTATGTGTCCTAATCTGGACTTTCTAGAAGTAATGGAACCTCAGATAAGTTTTGTTTCCAAGGTGCCAGAGCTGCTAAGTGTCAAAGCTTGAACTGAGGAGAAGATGTTTTAGATTTTAAAACGTGATTCTTTCTCTGCTCCAGTTCACAATCTTACTCCCTACTCCTCTCCACAGCACCCCATTCATTCACACACCAAATATCTCATTCCCCAAATCCCCTTCACTTACCTTTTGGGCTTTGTTTCCAAGTCAACTTTTGACACATTTTTCTCCTTCAAACACCACATCCAGTGATTTGTGAAATAGTAAACATTATTCCTGCACAACATTTTTGAACCTGTCAATTCCTTTCCATTGATTCAGTACACATTCACAGGGAAGATGCTCTGTGCCAGACACTGTGGTAAGTTCAGGAGATTCTAAAGATTCAAGCAGCCCAGACCTCAAGAGAAGGCAGGACAAATATGGAGAAGGGAAGATCCACGTCCAGTTTTACGATTTCAGTCTCCGTGTCATGTCATTTACAGCTAAATAACCCTTTCAAAAATGTCAGTTTCAATATATCACTCTTTTGCACCCTGAACATTCCTGATTTCCTAGTTATAGCATGATCTTGTTTTTCTTTTATTTTTTTTCTCTTCTTTCTACCCAAATTGTGATTTTGCTGTAGAAAGTTGATTGATTAGATCCATTGCTGTATGGATGTTGTTCGGGTCTCAAATGTGTTTACTGATTTATTGTCTACTGGATCTATCAGTTACTGAGAGGGGACTGTTAACGTCTGCAAATGTAATTGGATTTTTCTATTTTTATCTGGATTATCCAATTTTGCTTACGAGTTTTGAAGCCCTGTGTCCTTATATGCATTTGGGACATTATTTCTCTGGTGTGTTGGCACCTCTAATTATGTAACAGCCCCCTTTATCCCTGGAAGTTTTCTACAATTTAAAATCTGGTTTGTCTGATTTGAATATATCCACCACAGCTTTCTTTGAGTAATGCCTAAATGACATATCTTTTCCCATTCTTTACTTTCAATATGCTATATAACTTTTAATCTCACATATAAGTATATTACTAGTGACTTTCCTGTAGTCAGCATATTCATTTATAATACATTCTGACAATTTCTGGTTTTCAATTCATTGTTTTAGATCATTTACATTTAATGTTTTTATAGATAAGTTTTTAGGTAGATCTATTGTTTTTCTTTCTGAGATGGAGTCTTGCTCTTGCCACCCAGGCTGGAGTGCCATGGTGCAATCTCCCCTCACTGCAACCTCTGCCTCCCAGGTTCAAGTGATTCTCCTGTCTCAGCCTCCCAAGTAGCTGGGATTACAGGCACCCGGCTTCATGCCTGGCTAATTTTTTGTATTTTTAGTAGAGACAGGGTTTCACCATGCTGGCCAGGCTGGTCTCAAACTCCTGACATCAGGTGATCCAGCCACCTCGGCCTCCCAAAGTGCTGGGATTACAGGCGTGAGACGCCGTGCCCAGCCGATAGATCTACTTTTTAATAATTTATTAATCATTTGTTCCCCTTGTCTTAATTCTTCTATGTTCTTCTTCCTAGTTTATTTTGGTTTATTTAAATCTGGTTCCTAAGTGGTCTAGGGATCACCATATACATATATAACCTTTCACAGTATACGTAGAATCAATATTTTACCATTCAAGTTGAATATAGAAACTTCATCAGCAGTTAGGCCCTTTACCTTTACCCTTTTATGTTATGTATGTAGCACATCTAGATACAATGGCAACTGCATCAGATAAAGTTACAATTTTTGCTTTCAATCATGAAACATACCTTAAGGAACTCAAGAGAAGAATAATAGTCTGTAATGTCTACCCAGACATTTTCTATTTCGGCTTTCGTTCCTTCACTGATGGTGTCCTGTCTCTTTCTGGTATCATTTTTCTCATCTTAAATCGTTGCTAATTCTTGTCCAGCAGTTCTACCAGCAATGAATTCTCTCAGTTTACCTTCCTGTGAGAATGTATTTATTTACCTTTAGTCTGAAAGATATTTTTGCTCTACATAGCATTCTGGGTTGACAGGTCTTTTCTTTTGGTATTTAGTAAATGTTTCCTTGGGCCCCTATGGTTTCTGATGAGAAGTCCACAGTCATTCAAGTGGCAGTTTCCCTTTTATTTTCATTTGGCTGCCTTCAAGATTTTTATGGTTTTCCTTAGTTTTCAGCAGTTTGATTATGATGTGTCTGGGTATGGATTTCTTTGGGTTTAACCTACTTGACATTTATTGAACTTCTAAGTGTTTTGATAAATTTGATATGTTTTCAGCCATTAATTCTTCGGAGTTTTCTTTCTGGAGGACCTCTTTCTCTTCTTCCTGCAGGATTACAATGATGTGTTAGATTTTTCTTATTTTTCTGTTTGTCCGGGAGGCTCTGTTCATTTGCAAAAGCACTCCTTTTTCTCTATTGTTCAGGTTAGGTTGGTATTTTTGTTCTGTTTTCAAGTTCATTGACTTTATTCTGAGTGTCTCAATTTTGTTATTGAAATAACCCATTGAAGTTTTTTTTCTCCTAATAGTTTTGATGAATACATTTTTTAATTTTTAAGTTTAAAATCAGTGTTTAGAGCTTCCAGATACTTGCTAAGACTTCCCAACTTTCCATTCACTTCAAGAGTGTTATCCTTTCATTCATGGAGCATTGTTGTAATAACTGCTTAAAAGTATGTGTCAGATGATTGTAACATCTGTGTCTTCTCAGTATTGTTATTCGAGGATTCTCTTTGCCAAGTGAATTAAGATTGCCCTGGTTCTTCATATGCTGAATATTTTGGGGTTGTACTTTGCATTATGTGATGAGACACTGTGTCTTGTTGAAATCTTAAGGATAATATTGCTATTTTTGTTTTTGCAGGCATGTGATTGCCTTGTGTTCAAGTTCCAATAACCAGCCAGCCTTGTGTGTTGTAGTTTCAAAGTCGATTCTATTTTCAAAGCCTTAACACTGCTATTCAGAGACTCTGGAGTATGTGCAACCCAGTGGCCAGTGAGGACTGGAAAGTAGGCTATCACTTAGTTCGATTCTCAGGCTCTTTTTAGATAAGTTGTCTTTGATCAGAGCCACTTATTCACAGCTCACAGGCGCATCCAGGAGTTCACATACAACTTGACAGGTTTGCTCTCCACAGTGTCTTTCCTGGTTACTTGGCAACTCCTAGTTTCGGTCTCCCGATCAGAAAGCTGGGGCTGTATTTACCTGAGTGGCTCTGCCCTGCGCTTTCCATAATTATGCTGCATTTAGGACCAAGCTGCAGGAGGAAACAGGGAGAATAAGTGCAACTGGATATGTCCCTTTGTATCACAGCTCCTCAAAGAAACAGAAAACTAATTACACATCGATAGATCTATACTATACCACATACCAGTAGAATCTTAGTCAAGCCCGTATTGTTGCTGCCCTTACATAATGAGCCAAAGAAGTGTCCAGGCTGCTACTGAGATGAGTGTCTAACTTACTGTTTTCTGAGATCAGTGTCTAACACATATTTTTTTCCACTGTAACCTGGAGACCTGAGGTCCGACTAGTGAAACCTGGAGAATGTGGGCATCAATCCCACTACCTCTCACATGCTAAGCGAGCACTCCACCACTTGAGCTACTTCTTCATCTCACAGCATCTTTTTTCATCCTTAGTGGGCAGTCTAGAACACACGCGACTTCAAGGCCTTCACCGCGAAAGCAGGGCTCCACTAAGAGCAGATCTTCTCATTGATGGCCCAGGGCAAGAGTGCAGTGGGTACTTATTCTCTGTGAGGAGGGAGGAGAAAAGGGAACAAGGAGAAAGTCACAAAGGGAAAACTCTGGTGTTGCCAAAATGTCAAGTTTCACATATTCCGAGACGGAAAATGACATGTCCCACAGAAGGACCCTGCCCAGCTAATGTGTCACAGATATCTCAGGAAGCTTAAATGATTTTTTTAAAAGAAAAGAGATGGCATTGTCACTTGTTTCTTGTAGCTGAGGCTGTGGGATGATGCAGATTTCTGGAAGGCAAAGAGCTCCTGCTTTTTCCACACCGAGGGACTTTCAGGAATGAGGCCAGGGTGCTGAGCACTACACCAGGAAATCCCTGGAGAGTGTTTTTCTTACTTACATCTGAGACATGTGTTGTCTTCTTGCTAAGGTGTGTCATGTAAAAGTTACATATCCAACTGCATGGCAGAACAATAATAACAAAAAAATGCAGATAAGAGGCATAAAGAATAAGAGACAAAGATCATATCAGAGTGAAAGAATAAAGAAAACACATTCAGCAATGCAGAGAAAGAGTGGACATAGGGTGGAGAAAACCTAGGGTAGGTATAGGGTGGAATGTTTGTAGGAATTCCTGTGTAAAGAAATATGCCTGTTCAATTTAAGTGGAGTGTGTGTGTGTGTGTGTGTGTGTGTGTGTGTGTAAAATATACACGGAGGGAAGTAGTGATTGAAAAGCCTGGATGCTTGGAGATATGTTGGGAGAATATTATAAAAGCTAAAGACTCATTGAAAAAATTCCAGGTAGAAAAGCAGCATTTTAGGGAAAGGTTTTTAGTTTTAAATGTCAAAGAACTTGAAAATGGAAAAACTGGATCTGGGGAGAAAGAGAAAGAAGTCATAAAGATATTAAAGGATTGAGATTTATCCACATTGACTGTGTCAGTTCCTGAGGTGAACAGCATGAGTCTTTCTGCAGCTTCAATCCCCTTCACACTTCATGGTGAAGAAAACATCCTCCATGAACATCATAGCATGGATAAAGAAGGAGGTGAGTAAAACAGAAGAAAAAGATTCTGCAGAGTTTATGCAGGAAGGATCTACAGTATTTGTCAAGACATTGGGTGGAGAGATTTGAGGGAGAGGAGACAAAGGCACTGGCAAGTCTTGAGCCCGGTGTGGCAGACACAGAAGAGATTTTGAATTCATATCTGATCGATGCAAGAATAAATCCACTCATTTATCTGTATTTGGTAAATGAATGAATGTTACATGAGTGAGCTGGTGTGAAGAAAATAGATGATAAGACTATGTGCTAGACTAAAGCAAGAGCTTGTGATTTTTTTCATTGAGAAAGAAATCTGCTTCTCATATCTGGTTTCCCTCTTTAAAGTTATGTGATCTAAGGAAAATGGTTTAACTGCTCTGAGCTTCAGTGTCATCTGTAACACTAGGGTAATAATACTTGGGGAAGCTGAAAAACTATATCGACCAACTTACATAAAAATTAATAAACAGTCAGTATAGTTTCTAGCACATAGAGCTGAAAAATTCTTGAACGTGGAGTATTGTTCACCTTTAAGGAAAATGTTCTGAAGGTCTAAGGAGAGAGATCAGTGCAGTTTTGTTGCCATTGGCTGATTTGCTCATTTGTTTTGTAGCAATAAGCTTCTGTGATGATAAAAATGAAATAAAGTTTAAAAAGTAAAATAGATGGTGGAGAAACACAATAGGGATGCATAGTAAGGTATGATTTTCTAGGCAAAATGGATTTGTACAAAAGAATGTAGTAGTAAAGGATTTGTGCCTGATTCTTGTTGTATTATTTTTGAGTCTCATTTAGCCTGTATTCTAATTCCCCAATTGTTGTGATCCTTCTCCCAACAAGATTATTTCTTTGCACCGTGAACATTCTGGTCAGATTCTCTGCTTAACCATCTTGACCACGTGAGCACTCATCTTTGTACTGAGACCCTGATATAGGCCCAAATGATGCCCTTCCATAGTGGCGCTTCTTGCTTTGCCCAAAGAGCATTCAATTTTTCAAGCCATTTAGGGCTCTTTCCTCACCCGGGGTCTATATGAAACCTTAGAGGGAAGCCTGTTCTCTCCAGGAAGAGAATCCCGGTGAGTTCTAACCTCAACCTGTAAATCCACTAAGCAAGTTCCTACTGAACACGTATGATGCAAGCTCAATCCAAGAGGCCAGGGAGAAGGCAACCAAAGCAGTAGGTAATGCTTACTGAGCAGTTCCTATTGCCCAGATCCATCTCTAGGTGCTGAGATCCAGCCGGAGAATCCTAGAGTCCTCATTTCCCATGTAAAGAAAGACTATTGGAAGAAAGGGAAGCTAAATGATATCTTCAAGGTGACAACTTCCCTGATTCTTCTCCTGAAAAGTGAATGTGTCACCTCCACACTGCCGAGTCCTTTACTGCCTAATGACTCCCTCCCAGTAGATAATATCACATGACTTCTTGTTTATTTTTCTTTTTTGCTTCTGTCTCTTTCTCCCCACTCCCCCCAACATTGACGTAGTATCACAAAGGTGAGAATATCTGTATTTTATTCACTGCGAATTGCTATACCCAAAACAGTCTCTTAACAAGATATGTGTTGAGAACTATCGGTTGGACGCTTAAAAGAATAAAAGACTTTACCCACCCCACCCCATAATTATGTTTGGATGACCTTCAGAGCAGGCAATTGGAAGAGAAATTTCCCCTGCCTCCCCTGTCAGCTAGAGAGGTAGACATAAGACATAGCTTGCAGTTTCTGGTGTAATTTATATGCCTTCACCACGCCTTGTACTCAAGCGACTGAGAAGCCAAAAGAAGGAAAAAATAAATAAAGACAGACAGAGAAAGGAAAGGAAAGAAGGAAGGAAGGAAGGAAGGAAAGAAGGAAGGAAGGAAGCAAGGAAGAAAGAAAGAAAGAAAGAAAGAAAGAAAGAGAAAAAGAAAGAAAGAAAAGAAAAGAAAACTCACTTTTAAATTTTAAGCTAATATTTGGTCTGTCTTGAAATCATTATCTCATAGCATTTGTGTTCCATTATTTATCACACCTATTTCATTTCTCTTAATGGAAATAGCGGCATAAGCTGTGCCTTGTCTCATGTTCAAACTCAGGACCTTCAGAATACGAGATTGACAGGTGGCCTGCTGCTCTAAGAGAGCAACTGTTCCTAAGAGGTGACATCCAGATTATTAAATCTCATTTCCCACGCACTGCTGCTTTATCAATTCCTAGCTTTTAAAGAACACAATCAATGCTACTTGGAAATCACTCCTTATCAGTCAATGCTGCACTGGAAGAATTCCCCACTCAGGACAGGTGGAGTCCACCCGTTTCCAGTATTCACATAATGATAGGACCTTCTGGCTTGAGGGACCAGACACAATTGTACCTGTCTTGCTGCTTTTTTTCCTCTTGTGGCCCAGTCATCTAGCTTTTCCCTTCTTCAGAGATCTTAGTCATTCTTCCTTTCCGTAGTCTCCTTTGTTGATAAGAAACAGAGGTAGTGCTCAATTCATGATAGTTCATTGAGTGACCAACTGAATGAATGAAGGAAGAAATAGCCTTCCAAGGTGTCTGCCATTCATACTACTCTTACTGTGTATCTACACTTGCATCTCTATGACTGGAGACATTCACTCAACAAAAAATACAAACTAAACTTTTAATCATATCCTCCCTGTTTTTCCTCATATTTTTGTGCCGTGAATTATACTAGGAGACTTAGGGAGTTTACTTGATGTAGTCTGATTGACTTTTGCCAACAAAATTATGCCTTAGTATGCACTTTTTAGAAGTAATAGAGAATCAGATAGGCTAAGTGCGTTTTTGTTGTTGTTGTTTGTTGTTTGTTTGTTCTGTGAGACGGAGTCTCGCTCTGTCTCCCAGGCTGGAGTGCAGTGGCCCGATCTGGGCTCACTGCAAGCTCCGCCTCCCAGGTTCAGGCCATTCTCCTGCCTCAGCCTCCCGAGTAGCTGGGACTACAGGCACCCGCCACCATGCCCGGCTAATTTTTTTGTATTTTTTCAGTAGAGACAGGGTTTCACCGTGTTAGCCAGAATGGTCTCTATCTCTTGACCTCCTGATCCGCCCGCCTCGGCCTCCCAAAGTGCTGGGATTACAGGCGTGAGCCACCGTGCCCGGTCAAGTGTTTTTTTTTTTTTTTTTTTTTTTAAATGCCAAAGCTGCTAAGTGGGAAAGCCCGAATTGAGAAGCAGATATTTTTAGATTTTGCATGTGATTTTTTTCCCTCTGCTCCAGCTCACGGTTATTCTGCCCATTCTTTTGCACTTTAGCTCATTCACTCATACACCAAATATCTAATTCCAGACCTCCTCTTTACTTACCTTTTGGGCTTAACTTTTTAAAAATTTTTTTTAAAAATTTTTTTGAGTTGGAGTCTCACTCTGTTGCCCAGGCTGCAGTGTAGTGGCACAATCTTGGCTCACTGCAACCTCTGCCTCCTGGGTTCAAGTGATTCTTCTGCCTCAGCCTCCCGAGTAGCTAGGACTACAGGTGCCCCGCTAGTTTTTGAATTTTTAGTAGAGACGGGGTTCCACCATGTTGGCCAGGCTGGTCTCAAACTCCTGACCTCAGGTGATCTGCCTGCCTTGGTCTCCCAAAGTGCTGGGATTACAGGTGCGAGCCACTGCGCCCGGCCTGGGCTTAACTTTTATATTTTATTTTATTTTATTTTATTTTATTTTATTTATTTTATTTTATTTTATTTCATTTCATTTCATTTCATTTTAAGACAAGGTGTCACTTTACTGCCAGGGCACTGGTGTGATCTCTGTTCACTGCAACCTCCGCCTCCCGGGTTCCAGTGATGCTCCCACCTCAGCCTCCTGAGTAGCTGGAACTACAGATGCATACCACCACACCCGGCTAATTTTTGTTTTTTTTTGTAGAGACAGGATTTCACTGGGTTGCCCAGGCTGGTCTCAAACTCCTGGCGTCAAGGGATCTGCCCACCTCGGCCTCCCAAAGTGCTGGGATTACAGAAATGAGCCACCACGTCTGGCCTTGGGCTTACCTTTCAAGTCAACTTTGATTCATTGTCTTCCATCAAACACCACATTCAATGATTTGCCAAATAATGAACATTATTCTTGCACAACTCTTTTGAATCTATCAATTACTTTCCACTCATTTAGTACATATTCACTGGGGAGATGCTCTGTGCCAGACACTGTAGTAGGATCAGGTAATTCAGAGGAAGTATAGACACCCTAGACCTCAAAAGAAAACAAGATAAATATAGATGAGGGAAGATCCACCTCCAGATTCACCATTTTCAGTCTTTCTGTCATTTCCAGCTAAATAATGCCTTCAAAACTCTTTCAAAATAACTAAGTCACTATTTCAAACTCTTTCAATAATAGCACCCTTCTATATGATGGACCACTCTTAATTTCCTGGTTATAACATGATCTTACTTTTCTTTTAATTTTTGTCTTTGCTTTCTGGCTAAATTTTTATTTTGCGTTATGAAGTTGATCAGATCCATTGGTGGATGGTGTGGTTCAGTTCTCCAATATGTTGGCTGATTTGTTGTCTACTAAGTCTACCAATGACTGAGAGAGGAGTTTTAGTGTCTTCAACTAAAATTGGATATTTCTATTTTTACCTGGCTTATCTAATTTTGTTTATGAGTTTTGAAAATCTGTGTCCTCATATACATTTGGAACAGTATTCCCTGGAGAATGGACATTCGTAATTATCTAGCAGCCTTCATTATTCCTGAAAAGTTTCTCTGCTTTCAAATCTACTTTGTCTGATTTTAATGTATACACCACAGCTGTCTTTGATTAATGCTTGCATGAGGTATCTTTCCCACTCTTTTCCTTCAATCTGCTATATAACTTTTATTCTGATATATAAGTGTATTGCAGGTGGCTTTCTTACAGTCAGCATATTTACTTTTAATACATTCTGATGATCTCTAGTTTTTAATTAAGGATTTAGATCATTTACGTGTAATGTTAATATAGATAAGTTTTTAGATAGATCTATTTAATAATGTATTAACCTTTGTTCCCTTTGTTTTAATTCTTCTATGTTCCTCTGTCTATCTTGTTTTGGTTTATTTCAATCTGGTTAGTAAGTGGTCTAGGGATTACCATATACGTATATAACTTTTCACAGTATACTTAGAATCAATATTTTACCATTCAAGTTGAATATAGAAACTTCATCAAGAGTTAGGCCCATTACACTTACCCTTTTATCTTATCTATGTAGTACATCTCGATACAATGACAACTGCTTCTGATAAAGTTACAATTTTGGCTTTCAATCATCAAACATACCTTAAGGAACTCAGGAGAAGAAGAACAGTCTGTTATGTCTACCCAGACATTTTCTATTTCTGCTTTCGTTCCTTCATTGACGATGTTCTAAGTTTCCTTCTGGTATCACTTTTCTTATCTCAAATCTTTGCTAATTCTTTTCCAGCATTCTTGCTAAGAATGAGAATGTATTGACTTACCTTCCAATGAGAATGCATTTATTTGCCTTTATGTCTGAAAGATACTTTTGCTCCACATAGCATTCTGGGTTGATAGGTCTTTTTCTTTTGTTACTTACTGAACATTATGACATTTTTTTCTGGCCGCTATGGTTCCTGATGAGAAATCTACACTCATTCATATGGTAGTTTCTTTTTCATTTTCCTTTGACTGCTTTCAAGATTGTTTTGTACTTTCCTCGTTTTCAGCAGTTTGATTATGATACGTCTTGAAATGGGTTGGGTTTCTTTGGGTTTATCCTGCTTGACCTTTGCTGAACTTTAAAAACCTGGTTTATATCTTTTGACAAATTTGATACATTTTCAGCCATTAATTCTTCAAAGTTTTATCCCACAAAGACCTCTTTGTCCTCTTCTTTTCAGATTACAATAATGTGAATGTTAGATTTGCTATTTTTTAATTTGTCCCTGAGCCTCTGTTCATTTACAGAAATACTCCTTTCTCTCTATAGCTCAGATTATGTAGGTATTCTTGTTCTGTTTTCAAGTTCGTTGACTTTTTCTTAGTCATCTGCATTCTGTTATCGAGATCATCCAGTTAAGCTTTTTATTTCCCCTAAGAGTTTTGGTTAATACATTTTTTTAAATTCTTAAGCTTAAAATTGGTGTTTATATATTCCAGATATTTGCTGAGACTTTCCAACTTTCCATTCACTTCACGAATGTTATCCCCTAATTCTAGGAGCATTGTTATCATAACTGCTCCACTGTATGCGTCAGATGATTTTGACATCTGTGTCCTCTCAGTATTGTTATTCGAGGAGTCTCTTTGCCATGTGAATGAAGATCTCCCTGTTTTTTTCATAATGCCGAAGATTTTGGGGCTTGTAACCTGGACTTCTTTGGATTATGTGATGAGACACTGTGTTTTGTTGAAATCTTAAGAATAATATTGCTATTTTTGTTTTTGCAGGCACAAAATTGCCTTGTATTCAAGTTCCAAGTACCAACCAGCCTTCCACGTGTTGTTGTTTCAAAGATAACTCTATTTGCAAAGCCTTTACGCCACTGTTCAGAGATTTCCGGAGTGTGTGCAACTTCAGTGAGGACTGGAAAGTGGGCCATTGCGCAGTTCAGCTCTCAGGCTCTTTGTAGGTAAGTTGTTTGGGATTAGAGCCACTTATTCACAGCTGGCAGGTGTGTCCACAAGCTCATGAACAACTTTATGGGTTTGCTTTCTACAGTATCTGTCCAGGCACATTCTAGTTACTTGACACATCCTGGTTTCAGTCCCCTGAGCAGAAAGCCGAGGCTGTGTTTACCCAGGTGGCTCTGCCCTGCACATTTCACGATTGTCTGAGGTTTAGGACCAAGCTGCAGGCAGAAACAGGGAGAAAAGAGCAGTTGTATATGTCCCTTGGTTTCACAGCTCCTTGAGGAAACAGCAAATGAATTACACAGTAGATCTACACTATACTGAATGCCAGGAGGGAGCCATCACCAGGCCTGTATTGTTGCTGCTCCTATGTCTTGAACCAAAGCAGCATCCTGCTCTCAGACACTAACTTGGGTTTGGATACTTGAGTGTTTGGAGACCCAAGGTCCAAATAATAAAGCTTGGAGAATGTGGGCATCGATCCCACTACCTCTTGCATGCTAAGCAAGCGCTCTACCGCTTGAGCTAATTCCCCACGTCAGGGGAGCTTTCTTGATCTTTAGTGGGTGTCCTGGAACACAGGGGATTTCAAGGCCTTCAGCGGGAAAGCAGGGCTCTACTAAGAGCAGGTCTTCTCACTGATGGCCCAGGGCAAGGCGCAGTGGCTACTCATTCTCTGCAAAGAAGGAGGAGAAAGGGAACAAGGAGAAAGTCACAAAGGGAAAACTCGTGCTGCCAAAATGTCAAGTTTAGGGTATTCCGGGACAGAAAAAGGCACATCCCAGCAAAGGAGGACATGTCTAGACCTGCCCAGCTAAAGTGTCAGAGATTTTAAAAAAATGATTAAATGATTAAAAATGATTAAATGATTGTGTGTGTGTGTGTGTGTGTGTGTGTGTGTGTGTGTGTGTGTGTGTTTGTGTGTGTTTATAAAAGTGGGATGGAATTATCACTTTTCCTTGTAGCTGAGACTGTCTGGGGGTTGTGAGATGGTCCAGATTTCTGGAAGGCAAAAAGCTCCTGCTGTTTTCGTAACTAGGCCATTCCACCAATGAGGCCAGCGTGCTGACCACTCCCATAGGAAACCCCTGGAGAGTGCTTCTTTCACTTACATCTGAGATATGAGTTGCCTCCTTGCTAAGGTGTGTCATGTACAAGTTACATGTCCAACTATATTTCAGAACAACAACAACAAAATTACAGAGCAGAGCCATAAAGAATAAGAGACAAGATCGTATCAGAGTGTAAGAATATGTAAAATATAGTGTAAGAATCAAAATTGAGCTATGCAGAGAAGGAGTGGACATATGGTGGAGAAAACCGGGCTGTTTGTAAGAATTCTTGTGTAAAGAAATAAACCTGTTCAATTTAAGTGGAGAGTGTGTGTGTGTGTGTGTGTGTGTGTGTGTGAAATACACATGGAGGGAAGCAGTGATTGAAAAGCCTGGCCACTTGGAGATATATTGGGAGAGTTTTATGAAAAATCCCATGACTAACTGAAAATATCCCAGGCAGAATGCTTAAATAATTAAAGCAACATGTTAGAGAAAGGTGTTTAGTTTTGAATGTCAGAGCTTGAACATGAGAAAACAGGAACTGGGGAGAAAGGGAAAGAAGTCATAAAGATATTAAAGGATTGAGGTTTACCCACATTTATCATGTCAGCACCTGAGGTGGACAGCAGAAGTCTTTCTGCAGAGCTAGTGCCCACGACACTTCATGCTGCAGAACACATCCTCCGTAAACACTGTAGCATGAATGATGACAGAGGTGAAAGAAAAGGAAGAAAAGATTCTGGAGACGTTGTACAGGAAGGATCTACTTTATTTGTCAAGATATTGGGTGGAGAGATTTGAGGGAGAGGAGACAAAGACACTGGGACGTCTTGAGCCTAGTGTGGTAGACACAAAAGAGATTCTGAATTAATATCTGATGAATGAATCCGCTCATTTATTTGTATTTGTTATGTGAATGAATGTTACATGAATGACCTGGTGTGGAGAAAACAGATGGCGAGACTATGTGCTAGGGTAAAGCAAGAGCTCAAGTTTTTTTGTTTTTGTTTTTTAATTTAGAAAGAAATCTGCTTTTCATATCTGGTTTTCCTGTTTAAAGCTACGTGATTTGAGGAAAATGGTTTAACTCCTCTGAGCTTTACTGTCATCTACAAAATTTAGATAATGTTACTGAGGGAAGCTGAAAAGTCGTATCAACCAACTTATATAAAGAATAATAAACATTCAGTTCCATTTCTAATGCATACTGCTGAAAAGTCCTTGTATGTGGAATATTGTTCACCTTTAAGGAATCTGCTCTCAAGAGCTGATGAGGGACTATTTAAGTGCAGTTCTGTTGTCACTGGCTGTTGTGCTCATTTAGTTGGAACCAGCAAGTCTCTGTGAACATAAAAATAAAATAAAGATTGTGGAGGAATAGAATATAAACACATAGTAAGGTGAGATTTGCACAACAGAATATAGTAAAGATTTGTGCCTGATTCTTTTTGCATTCTCTTTGAATCATTTTTAGCCTTTATTCTAAGTCCCCAGTTACGGTTATCCTTCTCCCAACAAGATTGTTTCTCTTCACCACGGATATTCTGATGAGGCTCTCTGCTTAACCATCTAGACCTCCTGAACACTCTGTTTGTCCTGATAACCTGATTTATGCTCAAATGATGCTCTTCCACAGCAGGGCTTCCTGCTTTGCCCAAAGAACATTCAATTTCTGAAGCCATTTAGGGCTGTTTCCTCACCCAGTATCTATGTGAAACCTTAGAGGGAAGCCTATTCTTTCCAAGAAGAGAACCCTGCTGGGTTCTACCCTCAATCTGTAAATCCACTGGGGTAACTGGGATTAGCTCAGATTAGCAACTGGGGTTAGCTCAGCTACTCCAGAGCTTGCTCTCTGGGAACGGATGGTGCTGCTACTTCCCATAAAGGCTGACTAAAAAGAGGCATCTGCAGGCAGGAGAAAGCGCTATGGCAGTTGCTGGAAGATTGCTTCTGACCATTGGCTATCTCTCTGACCTGATGGGAGAAGGGTGACAAAAATTGGACACTTGAAAAACAGGCCAAAAAAAAAAAAAAAAATCAAAGGAATTTTAAAAGAACCATGCACAAATTCTTAATTAGATTCTTTTATCCAAATCCATTTTGTCTGGAAAATTATGCCTTAGTATGTATCTGTATTCTATTCCTCCATAATCTATTTTATTTTATTTTATTTTATTATTTTATTTTATTTTATTTTAATGTTCACAAGAAGCTGGATGCTAGCTACCAAATGAGCAAATCAGCTACGACAACAGAACTGCCCTAAAGTCTCCCATCAGATATTGATGTAGTCAAGACCCTCATGAGTGCCTATGATACAAATTCAGTGTGAGAGGCCAGCTTTCCACAAGGAGAAGGCAACCAAAGCGGTAGCTAATACTGAGCAGTTCCTATTGCCCAGATCCATCTCTAGGTGCTGAGATCCAGCCAGAGAATCCCACAGTCCTCATTTTTCATATGAAGAAACATGTGAGGGATTGACAACCCCAGTCCTCATGTATCATCAGTTTTCCAAGGAAGCCAACTAGCCTTCTGGGCAAAAAGCTCTCCTAACCCCCAGTTGCCTTGATAGGTAAAAGTACTCTTATGACAGTGTTAGAAAAACACGGGCACAAGTGTTCCAGCAAGATGGCTAGAAGAAGGCAAGGCTAAAGTTGTCAAGGTGACAGAGTCCCTGATTGTCCTCCTGAAAGCTGAATGTGCCACCTCCACATTCCCAAA
Organism: Homo sapiens; assembly: GCF_000001405.40. Classification (NCBI taxonomy): domain Eukaryota; kingdom Metazoa; phylum Chordata; class Mammalia; order Primates; family Hominidae; genus Homo; species Homo sapiens. Next base: position 323,651 of record NW_025791780.1, read on the forward strand.
CCCTTTACTGCCTAGCGATTCCCTCACAGTAGACATCGTCAAATCACTTCTTACATATTTTTGATTGTTTCCTGTCTGTTTCTCCCCACTCCTCCCAAGTATGATGTAGTTTCGCAATAGTAGGAATATTTGTGCTGAATACACTTTCACCCCACTCCTCCCAAGTAGGATGTAGTTTCACAGTGGTAGGAATGTTTGCGTTGTATTCACTCTTGACCCCAGTCTCTTAACAAGATATGTGTTCAAGAAATATTTGTTGGATGATTAAAAGAATAAATGACTTCACCCATCCACCCAATAATTAGTGTGAGGTGACCCTGAGAGCGGGAAGTTGGAAGAGAAATTTCCCCTGCTTCCTGTGTCAGCTAGAAAGACCAATTATATGACATAGCTTGTAGTTTCTGGTGTAATCTACTCTTCTGTTTTCACCACTCATTTTACTCAAACCACTGGAAAGTCGAAAAAACAAGAAAACCTAAATTATATTTCCATTTTCTACAAATATTGGGTCAGTCTTCAAATCCTTATCTGCTATAGCATTTGCGTTGCGTTCCGATATTTAGTGTATCCAACTTCTTTGGCAGAAGTGATGCCCTCTCTGAGGCTTGAACTCAGGACCTTCAGATTATGAGACTGACGCGCTGCCAGCTGCGCTAAGAGGGCTTGCTGTTGAGCTCGGGCAACATCCATTTTGTCGAAGTGTATTTCCCACCTACGTTACGGTTTCAGCTTTCAAAAACTACAATCAATCCTACTTGAAAATTACTCTGTATCAATCAACGCTGCACTAGGAAGATTCCATACCCACGACCAGAGGAGTCTACGCCTTTCCAGTATTTCATAGGACCGTCTGGGTTCTGCGTTACCAGGATCAATTGTACCTGTCTTTTGCTGCTCTTTTTCCCTTTTCCTTCCCTCAGAAACCTTAGTCACTCTTACACTTTCCATAGTCTCCTCTGTTGAAAAGAGACAGGAGGTTCTCAGTTCATGATAGTTCACTGACCACCTGGATAAATGAATGAAGAAATAGCCATCAAACCTGTCTCTTGATCATACTACTGTCTTCCTTCATATCTCCACTTGCATCTACATGACTGAAGACATTGCCGCTACAAAAAAAAACACAAAATACTTATAATGGCACCCTCTTTGTTTTTTACCCCTTTGTTTTTTCTTGTGTGCTATTAAGTATACTACGAGATTTCTTGCGTTTACGTAGTCCAGTTGAATTTCGCTAACAAAACGATGTATCCTAATGTGCACTTTCTAGATGTACTGGAGGCTCAGATAATTATTGTTTCTAAGGTGCCAGAGATGCTAGGTGGCAAAGCCTGAACTGACAAGCACATTTATTTTAGATTCCAAAAGGTGAGTCTTTTCTCTGCTCCTGCTCATTATCTCTCTGCCTGTTTTTCTCCACAGTAGTCCATTCATTCATATACCACATATCTAATTCTCAACCTCCTCCTGGGCCTAGATTTCCAAGTCAACTTTGACTCATTGTCCTCCTTCAAACACCACATTCAGTGATTTGCCAAATACTGAACATTATTCTTGCAGGTCTCTTCTGAATCCGTCAGTTCCTTTCTACTCATTCAGTACATATTTGCTGGAGAGATGCTCTGTGCCAGACACTGTAGTAGGCCCAGGAATTTCAGGAGACATTTGGCCAGCCCAGACCTCAAGAAAAAGCAGGATACATATGGACAAGGAAAGATTCACTTACAGATTCGCCGTTATCGGTCTTCCTGCTATTTAAGTAACTGTTTCAGAAATATCAGTTTCAATAATGTCACTTTTCTGCACTCTGACCATTCGTGATTTCCTACTTATAATATGATCTTGCTTTTCTTTGATTTTTTTGGCTCGCCTTTCTACATAAATTGTGATTTTGCTTTATAAAGTCTATTAGATCCATTGGTGGATGGTGTTGTTCTGTTCTCTAAAATGTTTGCTGATTTGTTTTCTCCTGAATCTATCAATTACTGAGAGAGGAGTGTTAACGTCTGCAACTGTAATTGGATTTTTCTATTTTCTTTCTGGTTTATCCATTTTGTTCATAAGTTTTGAAGCTCTGTGGCCAGAAACAGACATATTTAGGACAGTTGTGTCCCTTCGGTGAATAGACGCTTTATAATTATATAACATCTGTCTTTCTATCTGAGGGCCTCATCTCGTGTTAGGCAAGTGAGTGAGATAACCTCTACACTACACTGAGGAAACCCTCAGACTTCCTAAATCTAAGATAGATATATCTAAGATATTCAAGGTATGTATATATCTTAGATTTCTAAGATATATAGGATATATTTATGTTAGATTTATATATATATATATATACACATACTTATATTCAAGTCTTTTTAAGTTACATCATATAGAACTCACATATTCACATCACATAAGAAAACAGCAAAAATCACAAAAGTATTACAGACAAGAACCATGGGGATTAAAAGATCAGTTTGTAGTAAAGGGATAAATATGAACCTTGAAGGATGCAGATGAGGAAGAATGCACATGAGTTTGAAGGAACAGGCATAGATGTAGGAATTCCTGTGTGAGGAAACATGCCTGTTCACTTGGGATGTGTAGTGCACAAGTGCATATGTGCCTGCTTGTGTGTGTGCCTGTTTATAAAATGAAAGGAAGTAGTGATTGAAATGCCTGTGCACATGGAGATAATGATTGGGAAAACATTGAGACTTAAGAACCCTTGAAAAAATTGCAGACAGCTTACATAACCAAATTAACATTTAAGAAAAAGGTGTTTAGTGTTGGATGTCAAAGAGCTTGGGAACAGGAAGACTGTAATTGAAGAGAAATGGAAAGAAGTTATAAATAGATTAAAGAATTGAGGTTTATTCACATTTATTCCGTCAGCTTCTGAAGTGAACAGCATGAGTCTTTCCGTAGCTCCAGTGCCCATTATACTTTGTGGTGCAGACTACGTCCTCCATAAACGTGGTAGAATGGGCAAGAGAAACATGAGTGAAAGGTAAGAAAAACATTCTGGAGAGGCTGTGCAGGAAAGATCTATGGTATTTGTCAAGACATTGGTGTAAACATTTGAGGGAGAAGTCTTGACACTGTGGCACACAAGAGATCCTGAATTAATGTCTGATGAATGGAACAATAAATCTAGACATTTCTAAGTATTTGTCAAATGAATAGAAGGATGAACAGATGAGCTGGTGTGGAGAAAAACAGATGATGAGACTATGTGCTAAATTACAGAATGAACAAGAGTTTGTGTTTTCTTATTGTGGTAAAATATACTTAACCCATTTTACATTTAAAATTCTAAGTGTTCAATTTAGTGGCATTACGTACATTTACAATGTGAGCAACTATCACCACTACCCATTTCCAGAAGTTTCTCAGCATCCCAAACAGCAACTCTGTACCCATTAAACAATAACTCCACATTTCCCTCTCCCCAACAACCTCTATTCTTTCTGTCTACATGAATTTGCCTATTCAAGATGTCTAAAGTAGAATCACAAAACATGTTTTTAAATTGGGAAAAAATAAGCTTTCTGTATTTGGTTTTGCTCTTTACAGCTACATATTCGCAACTCAGGGGTGCACTCGGTGAGTTGACAAACCACTTGTGGGTTTGCTTTCCACACTCTCAGCAGGACTTCCCGGTGACTCGGAACTCCACTTTACAGCGCCCTGACCAGAAAGAAAGCTGGGGTTTTACTCATCCTGCTCTGCCCTGCATTTTCCAGAGCTGTGCTGCATTTTGGCATTTTGGGTCAAGCTGCAGGAAGGAGAGAAAAGGAACAATTGGGTATATCCCACCCTCTTGGGATCTCCTCTTTCCTCTGAATAAAGAGAAAACAACTTAGAAAATGGGTACTGTCCACTGAACGTTTTAGGGGCTATTATTAGCACTGTTTCTTTATGCCCATAGGTCTTTTACCAGTGAAGCATTCAAGATGGCTGGTACTTCCTCGTTTTCTTCGACAGGTGACTAATGAAGCCGTTCTCCACGTTGTACTGTATGGACATGCGGCCCCAAGTGACAACATCGATCCCACTACCTCTCACATGCTAAGCGAGTACTCTACCACTTGCGCTCACTCGTCACCTACCGCAAAACTTTCTGCCCTTTCCTTTATTCAGGAGTAGATGTGCGCGACTACCCACCATTTCTTGCGTCTCGGAACAAAGGAAATGTCTCGATTATTAGTGGGGAACCAGGACTCGACCTAAGGCGAGTCTACTCAAAAATGGCCAAGGGCAAGGGCATGATGGCTATTCCTCTGCGAGGGAGAGGGGAAAACGTAACCAGGAGAAAGTGGACACTGGAAAAGTCTGGTGCTGTAAGATTTCACGTTCCAGATTTTCAGGGAGAGAAGCGAGCACGTCCCAGCTGGGGAGCGCCCGCCCAGAGCGGCCTGCTAATTTGGCACAGCTATCCCAGGATGACGATCTTTCTTTTAAAAGAGGCGGGATTATCACTTGTTCCTTGCAGCTCTGGACTCCCGGGAAGAAGCGGCCACTCCCGGTCAGATTCTGGGAGACCAGAGAAACCTGTTGTTTCCGTTGAGTTTCAAATAGAGGACCTTCCATGTGTTAGGCCAGCGTGGTAACGACTACACCATAGAAACCCTTTGCATCACAGGCTTTTTATATTTTGAGATGAGCATTAAATACTGGTTTTTACAATTTTTTTAGTTGACAAGTACAAAATGTATATATTTATGATGTACAACATGATGTTTTCATATATGCATACATTGTGGAATGGTTAACTCGAGCTAATTAACGTATCTATTACTTAGTGTGTGTGTGTGATGGGAACACTTAAGTCTACTCTTTTAGCAACTATAAAGTACAGAATACACTTATTATTAACTGTAGTCACCATACGGCACAGTAGATCTGACCTTATTCCTCCTGTTTAACTGAAATTTTGTGTCCTTTGACAAACATCTCTCTAATTCCATTCCTACCTCCCATCTCCTCCCCTAGCCCCTGGTAACTACCATTCTACTCTCTGCTTTGATGAGTTTGACGTTTATTAGAGTTCACATTTAAGTGAGATCGTGCAGTATTTGTCTTTCTGCGCCTGGCTTATTTCACTTAACACAATGCCCTCCAGGTTCATCGACATCGAAAATGACAGGATTTCTGTTTTTTAAAAGACTGAATAGTATTTCATTGTGCAGTTGTAATATTTTCTTTATCCATTCATCTGCTGATAGACGCTTAGGTTGATTCAGCTACTTTAGTAGTAATTCTGCAATGAACATGAGAGTGCAGGTATCTCTTCAATAGCCCGATTTTTGAACATATACCCAGAAGTGGGATTGCTGGATCATATGATAGTGCTCTTTTTAGTTTTTTGAGGAACTGCTGTACAAAACAGCTGCACTAATTTACATTCCTACCAACAACGTACAAGGATTCTCTTTTCTCCACATTCTTGCCAACACCTGTTATCTTTTGCCTTTTTGATAGCAGCCATTTTAACAGGTGTGGTTTTGATTTGCATGTGCCTGATGATAAATGACATTAAGCAAGTTTTCATATGCCTGTTGGCAATGTGTCTTCCTTTGAGAAATGTCTATTAAGGTCCTTTCTCCATGTTTTAATTGGGTTATTTGTTTTCTTGCTATTGAGTTGAGTTCCTGATGTATTTTTTATATCAACCACTTACAGAAGTATGGTTTGCAAATATTTTCTCCCAATCTATCGGTTGTCTCTTCACTGTTGATTTTTTTTGGGGGGGGCTGTGCAGAAGTTCTTTAGTTTCATGTAATCTTATTTATCTATTTTTGTCTTTTTGCTTTTGGGGGGGTTCATATCCAAAAAATCATTGCACAGACCAATGTTATGGAGCATTCCCCATATGTTTTCTTCTAGAAGTTTTAGAGTCTCACATCTTATGTTTGTCTTCAATCAATTTTTAGTTGATTTTTGTATGTGGTATGAGATAAGGGCCTCCTATCATTTTTCTGCATGTAGATATCCAGTTGTCCCAACACCATTTATTGAAGAGACTATCCTTTCCTCATTATGTGTCTAGGCACGTCTGTCAAAAATTAATTGACTATAAATGTGTGGATTTATTTCTGCCCTCTCTATTCTGTTCCACTGGTTTATATGTCTGTTTTTCCACCAGTACTATGCTGTTTTGATTGCTATATATTTGTAGTATATTTTTAAAGTCAGGTAGTATGATGCCTCCAGTTTTGTTTTTGCTCAAGATTGCTTTGGCTATTTGGGGCCTTTTGTGCTTCCATATGAATTTTAAGGGTTTTTTTTTTCTATTTCTGTGAAAAATGTCATTGGGATTTTGATAGAGATTGCGCTGAATCTGTAGATCACTTTGGGGGGGTATGGATGTTTTAATAATATTAATTCTTCCAATCTATAAACACAGGATATCTTTCCATTTGTGTCTTCCTCAATTTCTTTCATCAGTGTTTAATAGTTTTCAGTATACAGACCTTTCACCTCCTTGGTTAAATTTATTTCTAAGTATTTTTTGTAGCTACTGTAAATGGGATCTTTAAAATTTTTTATTTTGGTTAGGTTGCCATTAGTGTATAGAAATGCTAGCTTTTGTATGTTGATTTTTGTATGTTGTTTTGTATTCTGCAACTGTACTGAAATTGTTTTTTATTTCTAACAGTTTTGATTTTTGGTGAGTTTTTTAGGGTTTTCTATATATAGGATTATGTCATCTACAAACAGGGACAATTTAACTTCTTCCTTTCTAATTTGGATGTCTTTTATTTCTTTCTCTTGCCTAATTGCTCTGGCTAGGACTTCCAGTACTATGTTAAATAGAAGTGGCAAGAGTGGATATCCTTGTCTTATTCCTGATCTTAAAAGGAAAGCTTTCAATTTTTTTCCCCACTGAGTATGATGTTAGATGTGGGTTTGTCCTATAAAGGCCTCTATTGTGTTAAGGTACATTCCTTCTATACCTAATTTTTGAGAGTTTTTAATCATGAAGGAATGTTAAATTTTGTCAAATGCTTTCTCTGCATCTATTGAGATGATGAGATGGTTTTTGTCTTTCATTCTGTTAATACGGTGGATCACACATTTACAGATTTGTATAAGTTGAACCATCTTTGTATCCCTGTGATAAATCCTGCTTGATCATGGTAAATAATTGTTTAAATGTGCTGTTGAATTCAATTCGCTAGTATTTTGTTGAGTATATTTGCATACATGTTCATCAGGGATATTGGTTTGTAATTTTTTTTTCTTTGTAGTGCTCTCCTCAGGCAATGGGTTCACGGTAATGCTGGCCTTGTGAAATGTGTTTGGGAGTATTTCCTCTACTTCAGTTTTTTGAAAGAGATCGAGAAGAACTGGTATTTCCTCTTTAAATGTTTCATCAAATTCAGCAGTGAAGTTGTCAGGTCCTAGGCTTTTCTCTGATGGTAGATTTATCACTGATTTAATCTCCTTACTTGTTTTTGCTCTGTTCAGAGTTTCTGATTCTGTCTTGCAAGTTGCATGTGTCTAGGAATTTATCCAGTTTTTAGGTTATCCAATTTGTTGGCATATAATTGTTCATAGTAGTTTTTAAATAATCCTTTGTATTTCTGTGGTAACAGTCGTTACCTCTTCAATTCATTTCTGATTACATTTCTGATTTTATTTGAGTCTTTGCATTTTTTTTCTTAATCAGTCTAGCTAAAGGTTTGTAAATTTTATTTACCTTTAAAAAAAATTCTTAGTTTGGTTGGTCTCTTTATTTTTTCTATCTTCTGTTTACTTCTTCTGATCTTTATCATTTCCGTCTTCCTACTAACTTTGTAACTAGCTTAGTTGATTGTTTTTCCAGTCCTTGAGGTGTAATGGATGCTAGGTAGTCTATTTGTGATCTTTCATCTTTTTTGATGAAAACTCTCTTAGAACTGCTCTTGTATCCTGTAAGTTTTGGTATATTGTATTTCCATTTTCATTTGTCCCAAAGTAATTTTTCAATTTCCCTTATGATTTCTTCTTTGACCCATTGGTTGTTCAGGAGCATGTTGTTTAATTTCCACATAGTTGTGAATTTTCAAAAATTCCTCCTGTTGTTGATTTCTTGTTTCATGCCATTGTGGCCAGAAAGGATACTTGATATGATTTCAGTCTTCTCAAATTTGTTAAGACTCATGTTGTGGCCTTATCTATGGCCTGTCCTGGAGAGTGTTTCATGTGCACCTGACCAGAATGTGTATTCTGGCTAGGACTTCCAGCACCATGTTAAATAGAAGTGACATTCTACTGTTGTTGGGTGGAATATTCTGTATATGTCTGTTAGGTCCATTTAGTCTAACGTATATATCAAGTCCAATATTTTCTATTGATTTTCTCTCTGGATGATCTGTTCATAGTTGAAAGTGGGGGACTGAAGTCCCCTCATATTATTCTATTGCAGTCTATCTCTTTCTTTAGATCTATGAATATTTGCTTTCTATATTTAGGTGCTCTAATGTTGGGTGCATATAAATTGATAATTGTTATATCCTGTTGATGAATTGACCTTTTTATCATAATATAAAGACCCCTTTCTCTCTTTTCACAATTTTTGACTTTAAGTCTACTTTATCTGATATAAGTATATCTGCTCTCTTTTCATTTCCATTTGCACAGAATGTCTTTTCCCATCTCTTCACTTTCAATCTGTGTGTCCTTAAAGGTGAGGTGAATTTCTTGTAGGCAGCATACAGTTGGGTCTTTTTTGGGATATATTTTTAATAATCCAGTTAGCCATTCTATATCTTTGTATTGAAGAATTTAATCCATTTACATGACGGCAATTATTGGCAGTTAAGGACATAGTATTGACATTTTGTTAAGTATTTTCTGGTTGTTTTTTAGGGTTTTTTGTTCCTTTCTTCCTCTCTTGCTGTTTTGATTGGTGATTCAATTATTTTCTGTGGTAGTATGCTGTTATTTGTTTCTCTTTATCTTTTGTGGATTTACTATAGGTTTTTGTCTCGTGGTTATCGTGAGGTTTACCTAAAACATTTTATAATTATATAATTATAACCGGCTATTTTAAACTTATAACAACTTAAATTTCAATCCCTGTTTATGTATTTCATATGTAGTCACATAACCATACCATATAAGTGAATAGCAAAAAACCAGAAATGTATTACAGAAAGGTGGCAAGGGGCAAGGCCATATTAAAGAGAAGAAATAAAAATAGATATAGCTGAGAAATGAAGATGAAGATGGCACACAGGACAGAAAGAACAGTGATGGTATAGAAATCTTTCAGTGTGTATTGTGGGACATACCTATTTAATTGGTGGGTGTGTGTGTGTATGTTTGTAAAATGCGTATTGATGGAAATAGTGTTGGGAAAGCCTAGACATTTGCAGATATATTGAGGAGAGGATTAACTCCAGGCGGGTGGCTTATGTAATCGAAGCAACATTTTAGGAAGAGGATTTTAGTTGTGAAGTTTAAAGAGGTTGGAATTGGAGAGAAAGCGAAATAAATTATTAAAAAAATTAAGGATCCAGGTTCATCCTCATTTATTCTGTCAGGTCCTGAGGTCAACAGCATGAGTCTTTCTTCATCATCAGCGCCTAATTCAAAATACACTCTAAATAAATGTTGTAGAATGGATGAAAGAACAGACAAATGAGAAAAGAATATTCTGGAGAGGTTGTATAAGAAGGCTCTACAGTATCTATAAAAACCCTAAGTATAAAGATTTGAGGGAGGAGAAGTCAAGGGCAATTGGGAGTTTTGAACCTGGGTGGCAGACACAAAAGAGATTCTGAATTAATGTCTGATAAATAGAAGAACTATTCCACTTATTCAGAGGTTCAAATGTAGATAGTAATGGATGTTGGGGTTTTTGGTTCTTTCTTCATTGGGCATGTACAGGTTGGGCTTGGCAATTATTTCACTAACACTCCAAGTAAAGGACTGTAAAAGGTAAAGAAAACCAAGAGAACGCAGGCTGCATTACAGAGGGTTGGAGCAGACATCCATTCCCCATACTCTGGGCCCAAAATAAGGTTATTTTAGTGGTGATGGGAAGAGCTTTTTGCTAATTGAGACTGAGATTTATGTGGAGATTTAGCCTCAAAAATAAGAAAGGCTGGTATCTGACACTGGAGATGACAGACAGAGAGAAAGCCAGAGTCAGGGAATGAAACATTTGGCATAAACTAAATCCTTAGAAAAAAGTCTCACAGGCAGATCAGGAATACGGTGTATGTGGCAGCAGGCAGTTAACTGTGGTTATTTCCATCTGCCTTGGGCCTCACCTTTGCAGTACTCTGTCTACTGTGTAATGTGATAACATCCAGGGAAAATTCCTCTGGATAACCTACTAAATTACAAACAGAAGAAATGAGGACATTTTTCAAGGTCACACATGAAACCTGGTAGATTTTTTTTCTGTAAGTGCACAGTGAGCTGGAGATTGACCTAATCATGCAATAAATGCTCAGCAGAAAATGCTGTAAAGCAATTCCTTCCTCATCAGTCCTCAGAATCTGGTGAGGGTGAGCTAGAAGGGAAGGGCAGGAAGGTCATGATCCACACTGAGCTGAGCAGTGGGACTGTCTCTGCATTTCACCTCAGGGAAAAGTCTGCTTCACTTTGAGCCTATGCCTTAGAGACACCAAGGAACTGGAAATGGAGTTTCCTTGATTGCTTGGGACTTTGGTGTGCAGTCTCGAGGCTTGAGAAAAAAGAACATTTTCATATTTGGCTCTGCCGTCAGTCTGGTAAGTGGGGTACTCTATTGGCTCATCTTCTGGCTGCCCACAGAGGCCCAGACCCCAGCTGTCAGCCTCTGAACTCCGCCACTTTTGCTCCAGACCCAGAAGAGTGGACTCATTTTCAACACTGAGGCCACAACTCAAATGTCACTGTCTCAGAGAGCCCTTCTTTGACCTCTCCAGCTGAATCAATGTCCTGTCTCTCTCTCCATCTTTTAAATAAAATTTTTAATAAATTGGAAAACATATTAAATTATTGTTTTATTTTCTATCTCTCCCCTAGAATATAAGCTTCTTGAAAAGCTGACAATCTAGATCCCCCAGTTTATACCCAGTGTCTACAGTTATGATAATACTTTTCTTGTATTTTCCTGTTCAGAAATCAGTGACATGCAGAGGGAAAGCTTTCTTCTGTGTGTTTTCTTTCACAGGGTAAGTTCAAAAAGAATTCTTAAACCAAGATAAGATGGCAAGCTGTGAGCCTTTCTGGTTTTCTGGAATGAGCAAGATAATTAGCCACAGGTGAAAATAAGCAAGATTCGTCTACCCATGAAGATTTTGCAAAGTTATTTCCACTTTGTAATCATAAAGTATGCCCTTTTGAGCTCTTACTGGTTTGATGAAAAGGCAATTGGCATGACAAATTTGTAATAAGTAGAAGTCATCAGCTTTTCCCAGTGGCCTGTCATGATCCTATAGTGGTTAGTATTCTGCCTTGTGGCTGCAACATCTGTGGGAATCTGAATATGACAGTCTGAAGTCGACTGCTTTTTTAATTAATCCCAGAAACTAATTCTAAGGCTTTAATGCGGAGCTAGGTTTTGTGTTATTTAGAACATATATAAAGAAAACCTTCTTTGACTCCTTTCTAGGCACTGATTATCAAACCAGACAAGAATGAGAAAGCATGAATTTTTACAATCCATTATCCTTCAGCTTCCCTTTTCTTTCCATCTCCACTCAAGGTGGTATCCACAGTTACATTTAAAAATGAGGAGCTATCAAGATGCCTTGCTCAAAGGTATTTGCAAAGTCTCAGAAGAATAAAACAACAGGTTTTGAAGGTGAATTAACAATGATTTTGTTTTCTGAGAGTGTGCATAGGATTGAATTCCAGGAGTAAAGCTGCGAGAGAGGCCAGCTTTTTAGGAAGGGCTTTGAATGTCAGGATAAAATGTTTAAGCACTGTAAGCAAAGTTTGCTGGTAAATGAATTTAGGAGAGACTGTAACTGAATTTGCATTTCAGTACCATTCCAATAGGGCACAGAGTTGAGAATTGAGTGCAAAGATCATGAGGAAGGTCAGGGTATTACCATAATGGTCTAGGCAGAGAAAGTATACATCTTTAATAGGGCAAGACAATGGAGTTAGACACCTTCATTCATTCAACAAATCTTTATGTGGGGGCATATGGCATGCCCCTAGGCTCTGGGGATGCTGAGTGCCTGTCTGAGGATTCAGCCACTGAATGGTTGCTAGATGGCATTGACCCATGGGTCACGAGTATGAGGCGCTTTAAAAATTTAATCTCATGTGGAATTACATGGGGAGATTCCAAGGAACCACTTGCGCTGGTGCGTCCGCGGCCGTCGCGAGGCGTCCGTCCTTCCCCGAGGGCGAGCTCCGGGCAGGCAGGGACTCGCCACCCGCAGCCCTGGAGCCGGGCCGTGAGCGCCTGCGCGGCGCTGGGTCGCTGTCCAGGAGATGTCTGCGCGGGAGACCCAGCTAAGCCTTGTGCGGCTACCTCCTCCTGGCTGATCCCAACCCGGTCCCCCAGCCACTCGATAGAAACACGATTCACATCGTCCCCGTTCCTGAGTGAAGGTCTCGTCTCCCACGACCTGCTTCGCCTCGCTCGTGATGATTTCCTACACTTGACTAGGGTTCCCGGTGCATTCGGCCCTCCCTCCTTAAGCTTCTGTCCTCTATCCGTTATGAAATCGTGTAACTTGTTTGGTGTGAACTGAGACAGCTGAACTTCGGAAGAAATTAGGCAGGATTCCCTGAAAAATGTGTGTGTGTGAGTGTGTGATTATATATATATAACTGCTCCTTGCGGAGCAGGGCTAATCAGGTAGCGTGCCCAGAGTAATCAAAATTTTTGTTAATTCTCAGGAGGGAGCATTAAAACAAAGAGCCAAAAGTTCTAAAACGGGGGACTTTTCACTCGAAATGGGCTGATGCAGAAGATACCATTAGTCAATTTGTACCAGATTCTTGATTTATTCCCTTGTAAATCTTTTCCAGCCTTCTTCACCTTCCTCCACCCAATCTTTCTCAGGTGTGTTATGATCCAACAAGGGTAATAATGCAAGTTTTATGAAGATCTCCTTATAAAGAAAAGGTTTCGGAAATACTGCTTTCTGTTTACTTTTTGATATGTGGATGATAAACAACACCCCATCTTTCCAGAACACAAGGAGGGGGCGACTTCAAGCTAGCAGTTGAATCAGGAATCTTCTGATACATTATGCTTTGCATCATTGGCTCTGCTTAAGTCAACATGGTTTTTCAAAAAAATTGTTTTGTGTTAAATTTTATTTGTAAAACTTTCTACCAAATAAAGATGTGCAGATTAAATAAAATTTCTAAATGTGGTTGATAGCACTTGGCCTCCCTGCCATTTGTCTGCTCTCAGCTTTCCAGCTGAAAAAATGAAAAGATTCATGGTCTTCTTGAAGTGTCATTAGTTCAATTTCCTGCCAGCCTCGGGTCCTTGACCTCAGTGGTGAGGAACGTGAAAGCAGCAGATGATGGAGATTTTAGGATTTTGTTGCTTGAAAAGGAAACCAGGTGTCAGGGACCGGTATGAACAAATGAAATAACAGAAACACTGGCAAATCCTATCAGGCTACTCATTCTCAAGAGTAGTGTTCCTTTCTGTACTTTTAGTGTACAGAGTATTCATCTCAATTGTGACTTTTATCAGAATTGTAAACAGCTGTTTGCTCAACTGTCTTCCCTACTCCATTGTAATATTCCTTGAGGGCAGCACATTCAGTGTCTACAAAAACTAATTTTACCTTAAAATTCTGCACACATGCATGTAGGGTTGAGTGAGAAAAAATGCTTGCAAGAATCAGGAAAAAGTTTTAACTTGTAAAACAGGTAGGCTCACAGGTGTATGATCCTATGCTATTCCAACCCATATGTTTAAATGAGAAAACAGCGGACTGCTATATACAAAAGTGGTTTTCTGGGTTCTCGGATATAATAACTTTGCGGCTCACAATGGCTCTTATATCCTTAAGGCAGGAGAGAGTTGGGGCTGGGCATGTGTCAATTAAATCTAAAGCCACTGACAGACCATAGGGCTAGGCTGGAGCCAGTGGCTGAGAAGTTGGCCTCCTAAGTGAGGAGAATGTCTAATTTGCTGACAGGAAAGCAAAAGCTCAGTGAACCAAGTGCACGCCAGACAGACATTTTTCATACCTTTTATATGGCTGGTTTGAGTTAATGCCAGTGATTAGGATTTAGAACACATAACCCACCAAACTTCTTTATGAAATATTTAGCACAAAGATCTCTACATTACTGGAAAAAACTCAGGAAACTCTTAGCAATAGCTCCACAACATTAAAAACACTCAACTGGCTTTTAAAAAGTAAATTTATTACCACACATAATAAGTCCAGAGAGTAGAGAGATTCCATCATGTCATCAAGACCCATGATAAATCTTTAAATATTTTGATTTTTTTGAACTTTACACTCTGTTACTCTCAATATATGGGTCTCATACTTTGGCCGGTTCCTCTGCAGTGCCTCAAACTCTGTCCCCTGAGCAGAAAGCCGGGGCTGTATTTACCCAAGTGGCTCTGCGCTGCACTTTTCATAATTGTCTCACATTTAGGACAAAGCTGCAGGTAGAAACAGGGAGAAAAGAGCAGTTGTATATGTCCCTTGGTTTCACAGCTCCTCAAAGAAACAGAGAATTAATTACATGGTAGATCTACACTATACTGAATGCCAAGAGGGAGCCATCACCAGCCCTCTATTATTGCTGCTCCTACGTCTTGAACCAAAGCAGCATCCTGTTCTCAGACACTAACTTGGGTTTGGAGACCTGAGTGTTTGGAGACACGATGTCTAAATAATAAAGCTTGGAGAATGTGGGCATCGATCCCACTACCTCTTGCGTGCTAAGCAAGCGCTCTACCACTTGAGCTAATTCCCCACATCAGGGCAGCATTATTTATTGTTAGCAGGTGGCCTGGAACACAGGTGATTTCAGGGCCTTCAGCAGGAAAGCAGGGCTCTAAGAGCAGATCTTCTCATTGATGGGCCAGGGCAAACAGCAGTGGCTACTCATTGTCTGCAAAGAAGGAGGAGAAAAGGGAACAAGGAGAAAGTCACAACGGGAAAACTTCACGCTGCCAAAATGCCAAGTTTAGAGTATTCCGGGACAGAAAAGGGCACGTCCTAGCAAAGGAGGACCTGCCTAGACATGCCCAGGTAAAGCATCACAGATTTTTAAAAAATGATTAAATACTTAAAAATGATTAAATGATTTTGTGTGTGTGTGTGTGTGTGTGTGTGTGTGTGTGTGTGTTTATAAAAGTGGGACCAGAAACAATTGTAACTGTCTTGCTGCTTTTTTTCCTCTTGTGGCCCAGTCATCTAGCTTTTCCCTTCTTCAGAGATCTTAGTCACTCTTCTTTTCCGCAGTCTCCTTTGTTGATAAGAAACAGAGGCGGTGCTCAATTCATGATAGTTCACTGAGTGACCAACTGAATGAAGGAAGGAAGAAATAGCCTTCCAAGGTGTCTCCCATTCATACTACTCTTACTGTGTATCTACACTTGCATCTCTATGACTGGAGACATTCACTCAACAAAAAACATAAACTGAACTTATAATCATATCCTCCCTGTTTTTTCCCCAATTTTTTGTGCCATGAATTATACTAGGAGACTTAGGGAGTTTACTTGATGTAGTCTGACTGAATTTTGCCAAAAAAACTGTCTTAGTCTGCACTTTATGCACTTTTTAGAAGTAATAGAGGCTCAGATAAGTTAAGTGTTCCTAAGGTGCCAAAGCTGCTAAGTGGGAAAGCCTGAACTAAGAAGCAGATATTTTTAGATTTTAAATGTGATTTTTTCCCTCTGTACCAGCTCAGTTATTCTGCCCGTTCTTTTGCACTTTAGCTCACTCATTCATACAACAAATATCTAATTCCAAACCTCTTCCTTACTTACTTTTTGGGCTTAACTTTTTTTTTTTTTTTTTTTTCGACAGAGTGTCACTCTGTCGCCCAGGCTGCAGTGCAATGGTAAGATCTTGGCTCACTGCAACCTCTGCCTCCCGGGTTCTAGTAATTCTCCTGTCTCAGCCTCCAGAGTAGCTGGGACTACAGGTGCCTGCCACCACGCTTGGTTAATTTTTGTATTTTTAGTAGAGACGGGGTTTCACCATGTTGGCCAGGCTGGTCTCAACCTCCTGACGTCACGTGATCAGCCTACCTTGGCCTTCCAAAGTGCTGGGATTACAGGCATGAGCCACCCCTCCTGGCCTGGGTTTAACTATTTTATTTTATGACAGGGTCTCACTTTGTTGTCCAGGTACCGGTGCGTTCTCTGTTCACTGCAACCTCCACCTCCTGAGTTCAAGCGATCCTCCCACCTCAGCCTCCTGAGTAGCTGGAACTACAGATGCATACCACCACACCCGGCTAATTTTTGTATTTGTTGTAGAGACAGGTTTTCACTGTGTTGCCTAGGCTGGTCTCAAACTCCTGGTGTCAAGGGATCCACTGATCTCGGCCTCCCAAAGTGCTGGGATTACAGAAATGAGCCACCACGTCTGGCCCTGGGCTTACCTTTCAAGTCAACTTTGATTCATTGTCTTCCTTGAAACACCACATTCAGTGATTAGTCAAATAATGAACATTATTCTTGCACAACTCTTTTGAATCTATCAATTACTTTCTACTCATTTAGTACATATTCACTGGGGAGATGCTCTGTGCCAGACACTGTAGTAAGATCAGGTAATTCAGAGGAAGTATAGACACCCCAGACCTCAAACGAAGACAAGATAAATATGGACAAGGGAAGATCCACCTCCACATTCACCATTTTCAGTCTTTCTGTCATTTCCAGCTAAATAACGTCTTCAAAAATGTTTCAAAATAACTAAGTCACTATTTCAAACTCTTTCAATAATAGCACCCTTCTATACACTGGACTACTCTTAATTTTCTCATTATAACATGATCTTGCTTTTCTTTTAATTTTTGTCTTTGCTTTCTACCTGAATTTTTATTTTGCATTATGAAATTGATAGGTCCATTACTGGATGGCATGGTTCAATTCTCCAGTATGTCTGTTGATTTGTGTTCCACTAAATCTTCCAATTACTCAGAGAGGAGTGTTAATGACTGCAACTATAACTGGATTTTTCTATTTTTACTTGGCGTATCCAATTTTGTTTATGAGTTTTGAAGCTCTGTGTCCTCATATACATTTGGGACAATATTCTCCTGAAAAATTGACAATCATAATTATTTAGGAGGCCTCATTATTCCTGAAAAGTTTCTCTGCTTTCAAATCTACTTTGTCTGATTTTATATATATACACCACAGCTGTCTTTGATTAATGCTTGCATGAGGTATCTTTTCCCACTCTTTTCTTTCAATCTGCTCTATAACTTTTATTCTTATTTATAAGTGTATTGCAGGTGGCTTTCTTTAGTCAGCATATTTATTTTTAACACATTCTGATGATCTCTAGTTTTTACTTAATGCATTTAGATAATTTACATATAATGTTATTATAGATAAGTTTTTAGATAGATCTACTATTTAATAATTTATTAACCTTTTTTCCCTTTGTTTTAATTCTTCTATGTTCCTCTGTCTATCTTGTTTTGGTTTATTTCAATCTGGTTGTTAAGTGGTCTAGGGATTACCATATACATATATAACTTTTCACAGTATACTAAGAATCAATATTTTACCATTCAAGTTGAATATAGAAACTTCATCAAGAGTTAGTCCCATTACATTTACCCTTTTATCTTATGTATGTAGTACATCTAGATACAATGACAACTGCATCAGATAAAGTTACAATTTTTGCTTTCAACCATCAAACATACCTTAAGGAACTCAAGAGAAGAATAATAGTCTGTTATGTCTACCCAGACATTTTCTATTTCTGCTTTTGTTCCTTCATTGATGATGTTCTAAGTTTCCTTCTGGTATCACTTTTCTTATCTCAAACCTTTGCTAATTCTTTTCCAGCAGTTTTGCTAGGACTGAGAATGTATTTATTTACCTTCCAATGAGAATGCATTTATTTGCCTTTATGTCTGGAAGATACTTTTGCTCCACATACCATTCTGGGTTGATAATGTATTTTTCCTTTGGTATTTACTGAATGTTATGACATTTTTTTCTGGCTCCTGGGTTCCCGATGAGAAATCTACAATCATTCATTTGGTATTTTATCTTTCATTTCCCTTTGGCTGCTTTCAAAATTGTTTTGTGTTTTCTTAATTTTCCGCAGTTTGATTATGATATGTCTTGCAATGGGTTTCTTTTGGTTTATCCTGCTTGACATTTACTGAACTTTAAAAATCTGGTTTATATCTTTTGAGAAATTTGATACATTTTCAGCCATTAATTCTTCACAGTTTTATCCCACAAAGACCTCTTTGTCCTCTTACAATAATGTGAATGTTTCCAGATTACAATAATGTGAATGTTAGATTTGTTATTTTTTATTTGTCCCTGAGCCTCTGTTCAGGGACAATAAAATCCTCCTTTCTTTCTATAGGTCAGATTCTGTAGGTATTCTTGTTCCGTTTTCAAGTTCATTGACTTTTTCCTTAGTCTTCTGCATACTGCTATTGAGATCATCCAATTAAGCTTTTTATTTCCCCTAATAGTTTTGGTTAATACTTTTTTTAATTCTTAAGTTTAAATTGGTGTTTACATATTCCAAATATTTGGTGAGACTTTCCAACTTTCCATTCACTTCATGAATGCTATCCCGTAATTCTAGGAGCATTGTTATAATAACTGCTTTAATGTATGTGTCAGATGATTTTGACATATGTGTCCTCTCAATATTGTTATGCAAGGATTCTCTTTGCCATGTGAATTAAGATCTCCCTGGTTTTTCATAATGCTGAATATTTTGGGGCTTGTAACCTGGACTTCTTTGGATTATGTGATGAGACACTGTGTCTTGTTGAAATCTTAAGGATAATATTGCTCTTTTTGTTTTTGCAGGCACACAATTGCCTTGTATTTAAGCTCCAAGTACCAACCAGACTTCCATGTGTTGTTGTTTCACAGATAACTCTATTTGAAAGCCTTGACACTGCGGATGAGAGATCTCTGGAGTGTGTGCAACCAGTGGTCAGTGAGGACTGGAAAGCGGACCATTGTTTAGTTCAGTCCTCAGGCTCTTTTTAGGTAAGTTGTTTGGGATTAGACCCACTTATTCACAGCTGGCAGGTGCGTCCACAAGCTCATGAACAACTTTATGGGTTTGCTTTCTACAGTATCTGTCCAGGCACATTCTAGTTACTTGACACATCCTGGTTTCAGTCCTCTCACCAGAAAGCCAGGGCTGTATTTACCCAGGTGGCTCTGCCCTGCACTTTTCACAGTTGCCTCACATTCAAGCTACAGGCAGAAACAGGGAGAAAAGAGCAATTGTTTATGTCCCTTGGTTTCACAGCTCCTCAAAGAAGCAGAAAATTAATTACACGGTAGATCTACACTATACTGAATGCCAGGAGGGAGCCGTCACCAGCCCTGTATTGTTGCTGCTCCTACATCTTGAACCAAAGCAGCATCCTGTTCTCTGACTTGGGTTTGGAGACCTGAGTGTTTGGAGACCCAGGGTCTAAATAATAAAGTTTGGAGAATGTGGGCATCGATCCCACTACCTCTTGCATGCTAAGCAAGCGCTCTACCACTTGAGCTAATTCCCCCACATCAGGGGAGCTTTATTGATCCTTAGTGGGTGGCCTGGAACACAGGGGATTTCAGGGCCTTCAGCGGGAAAGCAGGGCTCTACTAAGAGCAGATCTTCTCACTGATGGCCCAGGGCAAGGTGCAGTGGCTACTCATTCTCTGCAAAGAAGGAAGAGGAAAGGGAACAAGGAGAAAGTCAAAAAGGGAAAACTCACACTGCCAAAATGTCAAGTTTAGGGTATTCCGGGACAGAAAAAGGCACATTCCAGGAAAGGAGGCCCTGCCTAGACCTGCCCATCTAAAGTGTCACTGATTTTTAAAAAATGATTAAATAATTAAAAATGATTAAATGATTTTGTGTGTGTGTGTTGTGTGTGTGTGTTTATAAAAGTGAGATAGTATTATCACTTGTTCCTTGTAGCTGAGACTCTCTGGGGATTTTGAGATGGTACAGATTTCTGGAAGGCAAAAAGCTCCTGTTGTTTTCATAACTAGGCCCTTTCAGGAATGAAGCCAGCGTGCTGACCACTACCTTAGGAAACCCCTGGGGAGTGCTTCTTTCACTTGCATCTGAGATATAGGTTGCCTCCTTGCTAAGGTGTGTCATGTACAAGTTACATGTCCAACTATATCTCAGAACAACAACAACAAAATTACAGAGCAGAGCCATAAAGAATAAGAGACAAGATCATATCAGAGTGTAAGAATATGTAAAATATTAGAGTGTAAGAATCAAAATTCAGCTATGCAGAGAAGGAGTGGACATATGGTGGAGAAAACCGGGCTGTTCGTAGGAATTCCTGTGTGAAGAAATAAACCTGTTCAATTTAAGTGCTGTGTGTGTGTGTGTGTGTGTGTGTGTGTGTGTGAAATACACACGGAGGGAAGCAGTGATTGAAAAGCCTGGCCACTTGGAGATATGTTGGTAGAGTTTTATGAAAACTCCCAAGAGTAATTGAAAAAATCCCAGGCAGAATGCTTAAATAATTAAAGCAACATGTTAGAGAAAGGTGTTTAGTTTTGAATGTCAGAGCTTGAACATGAGAAAATAGAAATTGAAGAGAAAGAGAAAGAAGTCATAAAGATATTAAAGGATTGAGATTTACCCGCATTTATCGTGTCAGCTCCCGAGGTGGACAACAGGAGTCTTTCTGCAGCGTCAGTGCCCATCACACTTCCTGCTGCAGAATACATCCTCCATAAACACCATAGCATGGATGATGACAGAGGTGAATGAAAAGAAAGAAAAACATTCTGGTGATGCTGTGCAGGAAGGATCTACAGTATTTGTCAAGACATTGGGTGGAGAGATTTGAGGGAGAGGAGACAAAGACACTGGGAAGTCTTGAGCCTAGTGTGGTAGACACAAAAGAGATTCTGAATTAATAGCTGATGAATGAATCCACTCATTTATTTGTATTTGTTATGTGAATGAATGTTACATGAATGACCTGGCATGGAGAAAACAGATGGTGAGACTATGTGCTAGGGTAAAGCAAGAGCTCAAGTTTTTTTTTTTTTTTTAATTTAGAAAAAAATCTGCTTTTCATATCTGGTTTTCCTATTTAAAGCTATGTGATTTGAGGAAAATGGTTTAACTCCTCTGAGCTTTAGTGTCATCTACAAAATTTGGATAATGATACTGAGGGAAGCTGAAAAGCCGTATCAACCAACTTATACAAAAAATAATAAACATTCACTTCCATTTCTAATGCATGGTGCTGAAAAAGTCCTTGTATGTGGAATATTGTTCACCTTTAAGGAACCTGCTCTCAAGAGCTGATGAGGGACTTTTTTTAGTGCAGTTCTGTTGTCACTGGCTGTTGGGCTCATTTAGTTGGCACCAACAAATCTCTGTGAACATAAAAATAAAATAAAATAAAGATTGTGGAGGAATAGAATACAAACACACAGTAAGGTGAGATTTGCACAACAGAGTAAAGGATGTGTGCCTGATTCTTTTTGCATTCTCTTTGAATCATTTTTAGCCTTTATTCTAAGTCCCCAATTATTGTCATCCTTCTCCCAACAAGATCGTTTCTCTCCACCGCAGATATTCTGGCCAGGCTCTCTGGTTAACCATCTTGATGTCCTGAGCACTCTGTTTGTACTGAGACTCTGATTTATGTTCAAATGATGCTCTTCCATAGCAAGGCTTCCTGCTTTGCCCAAAGAGCATTCAATTTTTCAAGCAATTTAGGGCTCCTTCCTCACCCAGTATCTATGTGAAACCTTAAAGGGAAGCCTATTCTTTCCAGGAAGATAATCCTGTTGTGGTTTTAACCTCAATCTGTAAATTCGCTGGGGTAACTGGGAAAGAAGTCATAAAGATATTAAAGGATTGAGGTTTATCCACATTTACTGTGTCAGCTCCTGAGGTGAACAGCATGAGTCTTGCTGCAGCTTCAGCCCCCATCACACTTCATAGGTGAAGAAAACATCCTCCATAAACACTGTAGCATGGATAACAGAAGGAAAAGATTCTGGAGAGGTTATGCAGGAAGAATCTACAGTATTTGTCAAGACATTGGGTGGAGAGATTTGAGGGAGAGGAGACAAAGGCACTGGCAAGTCTTGAGCACAGTGTAGCAGACACAGAAGCGATTTTGAATTAGTATCTGATGAAAGCAAGAATAAATCCACTCATTTATCTGTATTTGGTAAATGAATGAATGTTACATGAGTGAGCTGGTGTGAAGAAAACAGATGATGAGACTATGTGCTAAGTGAAAGCAAGAGCTCATGATTTTTTCATTTAGAAAGAAATCTGCTTCCCATATCTGGTTTCCCTCTTTAAAGTTATGTGATCTGAGGAAAATGGTTTAACTGCTCTGAGCTTCAGTGTCATCTATAGTACTGTGGTAATAATACTTGGGGAAGCTGAGAAACTATATCGACCAACTTACATAAAAATTAATAAACAGTCAGCATAGTTTCTAGCACATAGTGCTGAAAAAGTCCTTGAACGTGGAGTATTGTTCACCTTTAAGGAAAATGTTCTGAAGGTCTAAGGAGAGAGATCAGTGCAGCTTTGTTGCCATTGGCTGATTTGCTCATTTATTTTGTAGCAACAAGCTTCTGTGATGACAAAAATGAAATAAAGTTTAAAAAGTAAAATAGATGGTGGAGAAACACAATAGGGATGTATAGTAAGGTACGATTTTCTAGGCAAAATGGATTTGTACAAAAGAATGTAGTAGTAAAGGATTTGTGCCTGATTCTTGTTGTATTATTTTTGAATCTCATTTAGCCTGTATTCTAATTTCCCAGTTGTTGTAATCCTACACCCAACAAGATTATTTCTTCGCACCATGAACATTCTGGTCAGATTCTCTGCTTAACCATCTTGACTTCCTGAGCACTCATGTTTTTACTGAGACCCTGATATATGCCCAAATGATGCCCTTCCATAGGAGGGCTTCCTGCTTTGCCCATAGAGCATTCAATTTTTCAAGCAATTTAGGGCTCTTTCCTCAACCAGGGTCTGTATGAAACCTTAAAGAGAAGCCTGTTCTTTCCAGGAAGAGAATTCCAGTGGGTTCTAACCTCAACCTATAAATCCACTAAGCAAGCTCCTACTGAACACCTATGATGCAAGCTCAATCCAAGAGGCCAGCACTCCACAGGGGGAAGGCAACCGAAGCAGTAGCTAATGCTTACTGAGCAGTTCTTATTGATCAGGTCCATCTCTAGGTGCTGTGATCCACCCAAAAATATCCCACAATCCTTATTTCCCATGTAAAGAAAGAAGATTGAAAGAAAGGGAAGCTAAATGATAGCTTCAAAGTGACAACTTCCCTGATTCTTCTACTGAAAACTGAATGTGTCACCTCCACACTGCCGAGTCCTTTACTGCCTAATGAGTCCCTCCCAGTAGATATTATCACATGACTTCTTGTTTATTTTTCTTCTTTGCTTCCTGTCTGTTTCTCCCCACTCCTTGCAACTATGACGTAGTATCACAAAGGTGAGAATATCTGTGTTTTATTCACTGTGAATTACTGTACCCAAAACAGTCTCTTAACAAGGTATGCGCTTGAGAAATATTTGTTGGATGATTAAAAGAATAAAAGAGTTCACCCACCCCACCTGATAATTATGTTTGGATGACCTTCAGAGCAGACAATTGGAAGAGAAATTTCCCCTGCTTCCCTTGTCAGCTAGAGAGGTAGACATATGACATAGCTTGTAGTTTCTTGTGTAATTTATATCTCTTCACCACGCCTTGTATTCAAACCACTAAGAAGCCAAAAGAAGGAAAAAGAGAAAAAGAAAGAAAGAAAGAAAGAAAGAAAGAAAGAAAGAAAGAAGAAAGGAAGAAAGAAAGAAAGAAAGAAAGAAAGAAAGAAAGAAAGAAAGAAAAAAGAAAAGCTCATTTTTAAATTTTAAGCTAATATTTGGACTGTCTTGAAATCATTATCTCATAGCATTTGTGTTACATTATTTATCACACCTATTTCATTTCCCTTAACGGAAAGAGCGGCAAAAGCTGTACCTTGTCTGATGTTCAAACTCAGGACCTTCAGAATACGAGATTGACAGGTGGCCTGCTGCTCTAAGAGAGCAACTGTTCCTAAGAGCTGAGATCCAGATTATTAAATCTCATTTCCCACACACTGCTGCTTTATCAATTCCTAGCTTTTAAAGAACACAATCAATGCTACTTGGAAATCACTGCTTATCAGCCAGTGCTGCACTGGAAGAATTCCCCACTCAGGACAGGTGGAGTCCACCCGTTTCCAGTATTCACATAATGATAGGACCTTCTGGCTTGAGGGACCAGAAACAATTGTACCTGTCTTGCTGCTTTTTTTCTCTTGTGGCCCAGTCATCTAGCTTTTCCCTTCTTCAGAGATCTTAGTCACTCTTCTTTTCCGTAGTCTCCTTTGTTGATAAGAAACAGAGGTAGTGCTCAATTCATGATAGTTCATTGAGTGACCAACTGAATGAATGAAGGAAGAAATAGCCTTCCAAGGTGTCTCCTGTTCATACTACTCTTACGGTGTATCTACACTTGCATCTCTATGACTGGAGACATTCACTCAACAAAAAACCCAAACTGAACTTATAAACATATCCTCCCTGTTTTTTCCCCAGTTTTTGTGCCATGAATTATACTAGGAGACTTAGGGAGTTTACTTGATGTAGTCTGACTGAATTTTGCCAAAAAAACTATGTCTTAGCCTGCACTTTATGCACTTTTTAGAAGTAATAGAAGCTCAGGTAAGTTAAGTGTTCTTTCTAAGGTGTCAAAGCTGCTAAGTGGGAAAGCCCAAATTGAGAAGCAGATACTTTTAGATTTTAAGTGTGATTTTTTTCCTCTGTACCAGCTCAGTTATTCTGCCTGTTCTTTTGCACTTTAGCCCATTCATTCATACACCAAATATCTAATTCCAAACCTCCTCTTTACTTACTTGCTCTGTCACCCACGCTGTACTGCACTGGTGAGATCTTGGCTCACGGCAACCTCTGTCTCCCAGGTTCAAGTAATTCTCCTGTCTCAGCCTCCTGAGTAGCTGGGACTACAGGTGCTTGCAACCACGCCCAGCTAATTTTTGTATTTTTAGTAGAGATGGGGTTTCACCATGTTGGCCAGGCTGGTCTCAAACTCCTGACCTCAGGTGATCCGCCCACCTCAGCCTCCCAAAGTGCTGTGATTACATGTGTGAGCTACCCCTCCCGGCCTGGGTTTAACTATTTTATTTTATTTTATTTTATTTTATTTTATTTTATTTTATTTTATTTTATTTTATTTTATTTTATGACAGGGTCTCACTTTGTTGTCCAGGCACCGGTGCAATCTCTGTTCACTGCAACCTCCGCCTCCCAGATTCAAGCGATCCTCCCACCTCAGCCTCCTGAGTAGCTGGAACTACAGATGCATACCACCACACCTGGCTAATTTTTGTATTTTTTGTAGAGACAGGGTTTCACTGTGTTGTCCAGGCTGGTCTCAAACTCCTGGTGTCACGGGATCTGCCCATCTCGGCCTCTCAAAGTGCTGGGATTACAGAAAAGAGTCTGGACTTGGGCTTACCTTTCAAGTCAACTTTGACTTATTGTCTTCCTTCAAACACTACATTCAAGGATTTGTCAAATAATGAACATTATTCTTGCCCAGTTCTTTTGAATCTATAAATTACTTTCTACTCATTTAATACATATTCACTGGGGAGATGCTCTGTGCCAGACACTGTAGGTAATTCAGAGGAAGTATAGACACCCTAGACCTCAAAAAAAGACAAAATAAATATGGACAAGGGGAGATCCACCTCCAGATTCACCATTTTCAGTCTTTCTGTCATTTCCAGCTAAATAACTCTTTCAAAAAATGTCTCAAAATAACTAAATAACTCTTCCAATAATAGCACTCTTCTATATGCTGGACTACTCTTAATTTCCTGGTTATAACATGATCTTTACTTTTCTTTTAACTTTTGTCTTTGCCTTCTACCTAAATTTTTATTTTGCATTATGAAGTTAATAGGTCCATTACTGGATGGTATGGTTTAATTCTCCAATATGTTTGCTGATTTGTTTTCTACTAAGTCTACCAATTACCGAGAGAGGAGTGTTAGTGTCGGCAACTCTAATTGGATTTTTCTGTTTTTACCTTGCGTATCCAATTTTGTTTATGAGTTTTGAAGCTCTATGTTCTCATATACACTTGGGACAATATTCCCCTGGAAAATTGACAATCATAATTATTTAGCAGGCCTCATTATTCCTGAAAAGTTTCTCTGCTTTCAAATGTACTTTGTCTGATTTTTTTATATATACATCACAGCTGTCTTTGATTAGTGCTTGCATGAGGTATCTTTTCCCACTCTTTTCTTTCAATCTGCTCTATAACTTTTATTCTTATATATAAGTGTATAGCAGGTGGCTTTCTTTAGTCAGCATATTTATTTTTAACACATTCTGATGATCTCTAGTTTTTAATTAATGCGTTTAGATTATTTACATGTAATGTCATTATAGATAAGTTTTTAGATAGGTCTATTATTTAATAATGTATTAACCTTGTTTCCCTTTGTTTTAATTCATCTATGTTCCTCTTTCTATCTTGTTTTGGTTTATTTAAATCTTGTTAGTAGGTGGTCTAGGGTTTACCATATACATATATAACCTTTCACAGTATACTTAGAATCAATATTTTACCATTCAAGTTGAATAAAGAAACTTCATCAAGAGTTAGTCCCATTACACTTACCCTTTTATCTTCTGTATGTAGTACATCTAGATACAATGACAACTGCTTCTGATAAAGTTACAATTTTTGCTTTCAATCATCAAACATACCTTAAGGAACTCAAGGGAAGAATAATAGTCTGTTATGTCTACCCAGACATGTTCTATTTCTGCTTTTGTTCCTTCACTGATGATGTTCTAAGTTTCCTTCTGGTATCATTTTTCTTATCTCAAATCTTTGCTAATTCTTTTCCAGCAGTCTTCCTAAGAATGAGAATGTATTTACTTACCTTCCACTGAGAATGCATTTATTTGCCTTTATGTCTGGAAGATACTTTTGCTCCACATAGCATTCTGGGTCGATATGTCTTTTTCTTTTGTTACTTACCGAATGTTATGACATTTTTTCTGGCCCCTATGGTTCCTGATGCGAAATCTACAATCATTCATTTGGTAGTTTCTCTTTCATTTCCCTTTGGCTGCTTTCAAAATTGTTTTGTATTTTCTTAGTTTTCAGCAGTTTGATTATGATATGCCTTGCTATGGGTTTCTTTGGGTTTATCCTGATTGACATTTACTGAACTTTAAAAATCTGGTTTATATCTTTTGACAAATTTGAACCATTTTCAGCTATTAATTGTTCAAAGTTTTATCCCACAAAGACCACTTTGTCCTCTTCTTTCCAGATTACAATAATGTGAATGTTGGATTTGTTATTTTTTATTTGTGCCTGAGCCTCTGTTCAGAGACAATAAAATCCTCCTTTCTCTCTATAGTTCAGATTATGTAGGTATTCGTGTTCTGTTTTCAAGTTCATTGACTTTTTCCTTAGTCTTCTGCATTCGATTATGGAGATCCTCCAATTAAGCTTTTTATTTCCCCTAAGAGTTTTGGTTAATACATTTTTTTAATTCTTAAGTTTAAATTGGTGTTTATGTATTCGAAATATTTGGTGAGACTTTCCAACTTTCCATTCACTTCACGAATGTTATCCCCGATTCTAGGAGCATTGTTATAATATCTGCTTTAATGTATGTGTCAGATGATTTTGACATCTGTGTCCTCTCAATATTGTTATTCGAGGATTCTCTTTGCCATGTGAATTAAGATCTCCCTGTTTTTTCATAATGCTGAATATTGTGGGGCTTGTAACCTGGACTTCTTTGGATTATGTGATGAGACACTGTGTCTTGTTGAAATCTTAAGGATAATATTGCTATTTTTGTTTTTGCAGGCACACAATTGCCTTGTATTTAAGCTCCAAGTACCAACCAGACTTTCATGTGTTGTCGTTTCAAAGATAACTCTATTTGAAAGCCTTGACACTGCTGTTCAGAGATCTCCAAAGTGTGTGCAACCCAGTGGTCAGTGAGGACTGGAAAGTGGGCCATTGCACAGTTCAGCTCTCAGGCTCTTTTTAGGTAAGTTGTTCGGGATTAGAGCCACTTATTCACAGCTGGCAGGTGCGTCCACAAGCTCATGAACAACTTTATGGTTTTGCTTTCTACAGTATCTGTCCAGGCACATTCTAGTTACTTGACACATCTTGGTTTCAGTCCTCTCACCAGAAAGCTGGGGCTGTATTTAACCAGGTGGCTCTGTCCTCCACTTTTCACAATTGTCTCACATTTAGGACCAAGCTGCAGGCAGAAACAGGGAGAAAAGAGCAGTTTTATATGTCCTTTGGTTTCACAGCTCCTCGAAGAAACAGAAAATTAATTACACAGTAGATCTACACTATACTGAATGCCAGCAGGAAGCTGTCACCAGTCCTGTATTGTTGCTGCTCCTATGTCTTGAACCAAAGACACCGAGAGCAGTGTCTTGCTCTCAGACACTGACTCGGGTTTGGGTACCTAAATAATAAAGCTTGGAGAATGTGGGCATTGATCCCACTACCTCTTGCATGCTAAGCAAGCGCTCTACCACTTGAGCTAATTCCCCATATCAGGGAAGCTTTGTTTATCCTTAGTGGGTGGCCTGGAACACAGGTGATTTCAGGGCCTTCAGCGGGAAAGCAGGGCTCTACTAAGAGCAGATCTTCTCATTGATGGCGCAGGGCAAGGTGCAGTGGCTACTCATTCTCTGCAAAGAAGGAGGAAAAAAGGGAAGAAGGAGAAAGTCACAAAGGGAAAACTCACGCTGCCAAAATGTGAAGTTTAGGGTATTCCAGGACAGAAAAAGACACGTCCCAGCAAAGAAGACCTATCTAGACCTGCCCAGCTAAAGTGTCACTGATTTTTAAAAAATAATTAAATAATTAAAAATGATTAAATGATTGTGTGTGTATTGCATGTGTGTGTGTGTGTGTTTATAAAAGTGGGATGGCATTATCACTTGTTCCTTGTAGCTGAGACTCTCTGGGGGTTGTGAGATGGTCCAGATTTCTGGAAGGCACAAAAGGGATTCTGAATTAATATCTGATGAATGAATCCACTCATTTATTTGTATTTGTTATGTGAATGAATGTTACAGGAATCACCTGGTGTGGAGAAAACAGATGGCAAGACTATGTGCTAGGGTAAAGCAAGAGCTCACGTGTTTTTGTTTTTGGTTTTTTAATTTAGAAAAAAAATCTGCTTTTCATATCTGGTTTTCCTATTTAAAGCTATGTGATTTAAGGAAAATGGTTTAACTCCTCTGAGCTTTAGTGTCATCTACAAAATTTGGATAATGATACTGAGGGAAGCTGAAAAGCCATATCAACCAACTTATACAAAAAATAATAAACATTCACTTCCATTTCTAATGCATGGTGCTGAAAAAGTCCTTGTATGTGGAATATTGTTCACCTTTAAGGAACCTGCTCTCAAGAGCTGATGCGGGACTTTTTTTAGGGCAGTTCTGTTGTCTCTGGCTGTTTTGTTCATTTAATTGGCACCTACAAGTCTCTTTGAACATTAAAATAAAATAAAGATTGTGGAGGAATAGAATACAAACACATAGTAAGGTGAGATTTGCATAACAGAGTATAGTAAACGATTTGTGCCTGATTCTTTTTGCATTCTCTTTGAATCATTTTTAGCCTTTATTCTAAGTCCCCAATTATTGTCATCCTTTTCCCAACAAGATTGTTTCTCTCCGCCACGGACATTCTGGTCAGGGTCTCTGCTTAACCATCTTGACCTCCTGAACACTCTGTTTGTCCTGATAACCTGATTTATGCTCAAATGATGCTCTTCCATAGGACGGCTTCCTGCTTTGCCCAAAGAGCATTCAATTTTTCAAGCTGTTTAGGGCTCCTTCCTCACCCAGGGTCTATTTGAAACCTTAGAGGGAAGGCTATTCTTTCCAGGAAGAGAACCCTGCTGGGTTGTAACCTCAATCTGTAAATCCACTGGGGTAACTGGGGTTAGCTCAGTTACTCCAGAGCTTGCTCTCTGAGAACTGGATGGTGCTGCTACTTCCCATAAAGGCTGAATAAAAAGAGGCATCTGCAGGCAGGAGAAAGCGCTATGGTCATTGCTGGAAGATTCCTTCTGACCATTAGCTATCTCTCTGACCTGGTGTGAGAAGGGTGACAAAAATCGGAGACTTGAAAACAGGCCAAAAAAAAAAAAATGGATTCAAAAGAATTTTAAAAGAATCATGCACAAGTTCTTAATTAGATTCTTTTATCCAAATCCATTTTGTCTGGAAAATAATACCTTACTACGTATCTGTATTCTATTCCTCCATAATCTATTTTATTTTATTTTAATGTTCACAAGAAGCTGGATGCTAGCTACCAAATGAGCAAATCAGCCACGATAACAGAACTGCACTAAAATCTCTCATCAGATATTGATACAGTCAAGACCCTCATGAGTGCCTATGATACAAATTCAGTGTGAGAGGCCAGCTTTCCGCAAGGAGAAGGCAACCAAAGCGGTAGCTAATACTGAGCAGTTCCTATTGCCCAGATCCATTTCTAGGTGCTGAGATCCAGCCAGAGAATCCCACAGTCCTCATTTTTCATATGAAGAAACATGTGAGTGATTCACCACCCCAATCCTCATGTATCATCAGTTTTCAAACAAAGCCAAGTAGCCTCCTGTGCAAAAAGCTCTCCTAACCCCCAGTTGCCTTGATAGGTAAAAGTATTCTTATGACAGTGCTAGAAAAACACGGGCACAAGTGTTCCGGCAAGGTGACTAGAAGGCAAGGCTAAAGTTGTCAAGGTGACAAAGTCCCTGATGGTCCTCTTGAAAGCTGAACGTGCCACCTCATGTGTATATGTGTATGTGTGGATGCATATGTGTATGTTGTGTGTACACACCTACACATATATCTACAAATGCATGTGTGTATGCATGCATGTGTGTACACGTGCATGCACACATGTATCTGTATACATGTATTATGTACACAGTATGCATGTGTACATGTATGTGTCTGTGCATGTGTAGATGTATACATGCATGTACACATGCATCTACATATGCATGTGTATGCCTAAATGTGTGTACAAGTGCGTGCATATGTGCACTATACATGTGTACATGTGTTTGTACACGTGTATCTGCACATGCATACGTACATACATACATGCATGTACATGTGAACACACACGTGTATGTATACATGTATGTACACCTGTGTGCACATGCATCTACATATGTGTATAACTATATGTATGTGTGTGTACCCATGTGTACATGCATCTGCGGGTATGCATTTGTGTACACATATGTCTGCACATGCATGCCTGCAGGCATGGATGCATGTGTGTGTGTGCATGCATGTGTATCCAGGTATGTGTGTACACAGAATGTTTGTATGTTTGTGTGTTTTGTGTGTAGGTATTCGTGTATGCATAAATGTGCACATGCATGTTTGCATGCATTTGTTTACACGTGTACATGTGTGTATGCATGTGTGTATACACGTGTATACACATGTACGTTTGTGTGCACGTGTATGCACATGTATGCACGTGTACATGTATACATTGTGCTCATGTGTGCCTACATGTATGTATATATTGTACATGCATTATGTGTGTATGCACATATGTGCACGTGTGTGCATGTATGTACATGCATGTATGCACACGTTATTTATGTGTGTGCATGCATGTATTTGCATACGTGTGTGCACATGTGTGCACACATGCGTGTAGGCATGTATGTGGATGTGCACACGTATGTATGGACACGTGTATTCTTGCATGCACGTGTACATGTATGTGTGCACACAGGCATGTGTAGGGATGTATGTTGTATACGTGTATGTGTGTATACATGTATGTATGTACACAAAATCTGTTTGTATGTACACCTAGATCTGTATTAGTCAGGGTTCTCTAGAAGGACAGAACTAACAGGATAGATGTGTATATGAAGCAGAGCTCATTAAGAAGTATTGACTCACACAATCGGAAGTTGAAGTCCCACAATAGGCTGTCTGCAAGCTGAAGAGCAGGGAAGCCAGTCCGAGTCCCAAAACCTCAAAAGTAGGGAAGCTGACAGTGCAGCCTTTAGTCTGTGGCCAAAGGCTCAAGAGCCCCTGGCAAACCACTGGTGTCAAGAGTCCAAAAGCCGAAGAACTTGGAGTCCAATGTTTGAGGGCAGGGAGCATCCAGCATGGGAGAAAGATGGAGGCCAGAAGACTCAGCAAGTCTTCCTTTTCCAAACTCTTCTGAGTGTATGTATGTATACATGCATGCATGTATACATGTATGTTTTCAATATTTATACACATGGAATCATTTACGATATTATTAGATCTGGCTTCTTTGATATCAACTTTTCATTATGTTTTTAAATTCCATCTATGTTGTTGGATGACCACTTGCCTGATACTGTTCATTGCAATACAGACTTCCACGTATGAACACATCACAGTTTGTATAACCATATTGCCATTGATAGCTATTACATTATATCTATCCTTCAGTTATTACAAATGATGCCACTCTAAACATTCCTGAATGTGTATCCTGGTACACATAAGCATGCATTTTCTATGCAAAAATGAGTGGAATTGAAACCATCTTTGCAAAAATTATGAGTGAGAAAAATCTAACATAGCTGACTATCTTGCTTCTAACTTCACAAACTGTCCTTGTTCATTCCTGGGCATAGGCCAAGCTAACTATGGAGGAATTCATAGTTTAATTTTAAAACAAAGATGATAATAGCTGCTTCCCAAAAGTAACCCCTCCCTGCTAAGGGACTGAAACTACCTTTGTAAAACCAACAAATTAGGCATAAGGTTAAAATTATGGTTCAGGAATAATGTAGCTGGAAGTCACAAGATTGTAGCCTCCTCAGTTGCTCCTATAGATAACATCACTACTGTAAAGCCTAAGATTGGTGCTTGATGTATTTTTTAGACCCTGTATTTTGATGGACCAGCTGATGTCACCTGGACAGGTAACCCATTAAGAAACAAACAAACAAACAAACAAAAAGCCGCCAGCCTGACCAACATGGGGAAACCCCATCTCTACTAAAAACATAAAAATTAGCCAGGCATGGTGGTGCGCGTCTGTAATCCCAGCTACTCAGGAGGCTGAGGCAGGAGAATCGCTTGAACCCAGGAGGTGGAGGTTGCAGTGAGCCGAGATCACACCATTGCCTGGGTGACAGAGTGAGACTCCGTCTCAAAAAAACAAAAAAACAAAAAGCAAACAACAAAAAAAACTGGCTCAGCTGGTCTCATGAACCCCTGATCCAGGAACTGACTCAGTGCAAGAAGACAGCTTTGACCCTTTATGATTTCATCCCTTACCCAACAAATTAGCATTCCCCAGTCCCTACCCGCTGTCCACCAAACTATCCTTGAAAAACTCTGGCCTCCAAATTCTCAGGGAGGTGGATTTGAGCATTATCTTTCATCCTTCCACTTGGCTGGCCCTGCAATTATTAAACTCTTTCTTTGCTGCAAAACCTGCTGTTCTCACTGCATTGGCTTTTCTGCGTGGCAGACAAGAAGAACCTATCAAGTGATTACAGAATTGCTGGTAAGAAAAGTGTATCTTCAACTAGATACTGCCACACTCTTTTCCAAATTTACTGCATTCACTTGCACTTGCAGTAGCTGTATATTAGTGTTTTTCTTGCTCTACTTAGTTGAAGTCACTGTAATGTTTCTCATTGTGATTACTATGCATGTTCTCGAACCATATCCCTGTTTATTTCATTTTAATCTATTGATTGTATTTAAATGTATACTCTGTACTGTAGCCTCTGAAGTTATCTTAAAAACACATTTTTTTTTTTTTTTTTTTTTTTTTTTTTTTGTGGTGCCACTGTTTACAACCCTTCAAGCACTTCCTAATGTTGTCTTAAAAGTCAAAGCTTCTTAGACTTTCATGTTTGGTCTGATATGGTTTGGCTGTGTCCCCACCCAAATCTCATCTTGAACTGTAGTTCTGACAACCCCCATGTCTCAGGAGGGACCCTGTGGGAGGTAATTTAATCATGGGGGTCAGTTACCCTCATGCTGTTCTCATGATAATGAGTTCTCACTAAATCTGATGGTTTTATAAGGGGCTTTTTCTCCTTTTGCTTGGCACTTCTCCTTGCTGCCACCATGTGAAGAAGGGCATGGTTGCTTCCCCTTCTGCCATGATTCTAACTTTCCTGAGGCCTCCCTAGCCATCCTGAACTGTGAGTCAATTAAACCTCTTTCCTTTATAAGTTACCCAGTCTCAGATATGTCTTTATTAACAGCATGAGAATAGACTTACACAGGTCCAATGCTTAACTCTCAAATTTTATATCCCTCTCCTCCTACATTTGAACTCATACTAAACTATTTTTAACTTCCCCCTAAAAATGAAATTTGTATGTCTCAGTTTAATCACAGTCCTGTGAATTAATGACTCCAATCCTCTCTTCCCTTAACTTTCACAAAGATAACTACTACACATTCTTCAAAAACCTATTTATGACATCCATTGTCTATAAAGCTTTCCCCAGCCTGAAGCCTATGTTAGATTTCCTTACTGTGAGGTCCATGCAACTGTCCATAGTGTTTTCCAGGCTGTATTGCCATGTTTCCATATGGAAATTCCTTCCTGGCATTTCTTGGGAAATTTATAATTTTCCAAATCGTGACAAAAATCAGTCAAGAAAGAAGGAAAATGGGGAAAGTATAATTAAAATTCTGCATAGGCAGAATAATGCCCCCCTCCAAGATATTCATATTTTAATCCTCAGAACCTGTGAATCTATTACTTTGCATGGGAACAATGACTTTGCAAATGTGATTAAAGTTAGGAGTTTGAGCTAGAGAGATTAGCCTGGATTATCCAGGTGAGCCTAATTTAATCACATGAATCCTTAAAAGTAAACAACCTCTCTCTGCTGTTTCAGAGAGCAATTAAATGACAGAGGATTAGAACGAAGTGACATGAGAAGGAACTGATTATTTGAATATGTGTGGCACTTCTCGTTTTGTGCTCTCTCCTGTCACTATGTACCTTGCTTTCTCTTTGCCTTCCGCCATGATTGTAACCTTCCTGAGTCCTCTCCAGCCATGAACTATGAGTCAATTAAAACTTCTTTTTTTTATAAGTTACCCACTCTCAGGTAGTTCTTCATAGCAATGTGAAAATGGACTAATACAGAAAACTGGTACCAGGAAAGTGTGGCACTGCTACAAAGATACCTGAAAATGTGGAAGTGACTTTGGAACTGGGTAACAGGCAGAGGTTGGGAGAGTTTGGAGGGCTCAGAAGAAGACGGGAAGATATGGGAAAGTTTGGAACTTCCTAGAGACTTGTTGAATAGTTTTGATCAATATGTTGATAGTGATATGGACAATAAAGTCCCGGCTGAGGTAGTCTCAGATAGAGATGAGGAACTTATTGTGAACTGTAGTAAAGGTCACTCTTTCTATGCTTTAGCAAAGAGACTGGTGACATTTTGTCCCTCTCCTAGAGATCTGTTAAACTTTGAACTTGAGAGAGATAAGTTAGGGCATCTGGCAGGAGAAATTTGTAAGCAGAAAGGCATTCAAGATTTGACCGAGTGGTTTCTTTTTCTTTTCCTTTTTTTTTTTTTTTTTTTTTTGAGATGGAGTCTCACTGTGTCACCCAGACTGGAGTGCAGTGGTGTGATTTTGGCTCACTGCAACCTCTACCTCCCAGGTTCAAGCGATTCTCCTGCCTCAGCCTCTCAAGTAGCTGGGAAAATTACAGGCATGCACCACCACGCCCTGACCTGGCAGTTTCTAAAAGTGTACAGTCACATGCATTCACAAAGAGATGGTTTGAAATTGGAATTTATGTTTAAAAGGAAAGAAGACATTAAAAGTTTGGAAAATTTGCAACTTGACCATGTGGTTAAAAAAATAAAAACCATTTTCTGGGGAGAAATTCAGGCTGGCTGCATAAATTTGCATAAATCAAGAGGATCCTGATGTTAATCTCCAAGAAAGTGAAGAAAAAGTCTCCAGGGCATTTCAGAGATCTTCACGGCAGCACCTCCCATCACAGTCCTAAAGGCCTAGAAGGGAAAAATTGTTTCTTGGGTTGGGCCCAGGTCCTCGGTCCTCTGTGCAGCCTTGGGACGTGAAGACCCGTGTCCCAGCAGCTCCAGCTCCAGCCATGGCTCAGGCCACTGCTTCAGAGGGTGCAAGCCCCAAGCCTTGGCAGCTTCCACATACTGCTGGGCCTGCAGGTGTGCACAAGAATTGAGGTTTAGGAACCTCCACCTAGATTTCAGATAATATAGGGAAGTGCCTGGATATCCAGGCAGAAGTGTGCTGCAGGAATGGAGCTGTCATGGAAACCTCTATGAGGGCAGTGCACCGGAGAAATGTGGGGCTGGAGCCCTCACACAGAGTTCCTACTGGGGCACTGCCTAGTGGAGCTGTGAGAAGAGGGCCACAGTCCTATAGAACCCAGAAAGATAAATTCACCGATAGCTCGCCCTGGCTGCCTGGAAAAGCTGTCGGCACTCAATGCCAATCCACGAAAGCAATCAAAGGGGCTGTATCTTGCAGACACACAAGAGTAGAATTGCCTAAGGCCTTGAGAGCCCACTTGTTGCATCAGCATTCCCTGGATGTGAGACATGGAGTCAAAGGAGATTATTTCAGAGCTTCGAGACTTAATGACTGTCCTGCTGGGTTTTGGATTTGGATGGGGCCCATAGCCCCTTTGTTTTGACCAATTTCTCCCTTTTGGAACAGGAGTATTTACCCAATGCCTGTAACCCCATTGTAACTAATCTGTTTTTGATTTTACAGGCTCATAGGTGGAATGGACTTGTTTGTCTCAGAAAGACTTTGGACTGGACTTTTGGTTTAATGCTGGAATGAGTTAAGACTTTGGGGAACTCTTGGGAAGGCACGATTGGCTTTGAAAAGTGAAAAGAACATGATATTTTAAAGGGGCCAGGGGCAGAACAATATGGTTTGGCTCTGCATCCCTGCCCAAATCTTATCTCAAATTGTAATTCTAACATGTTGGGGGAGGGGCCTGGTGGGAGGTAATTGAATCATGGGGGCACACTTCCCCTTTTCTGTTCTTGTGATAGTGAGTGAGTTCTCATAAGATCTGGTGGCACTTCCCCCTTCACACTCTTTCTCTCCTGCCACCATGTAAGATGTGTCTTGCTTCCCCTTTGTCTTTTGCCATGATTGTACATTTCCTGAGGCCTCTCCAGCCTCAGGAACTGTGTGTCAATTAAACCTCTTTTCTTTACAAATTACCCAGTCTCAGGTAGTTCTTTACAGCAGTGTGTAAAAGGACTAATACAAAGACATTATGCTAAGTGAAATAAGCCAGGCACAGAAAGACAAATACCATATGTTCTCACTTTTATGTGGACTTTATAATAGTTGAATTCTAGAAGTAGAGAACAGAATAGTTACCAGAGATTTAGGAGTGAGAGGAATGAAGAGATATTGTTGAAAGAGTGCAAAGTTTCTGTGAGACAGGAGAAATAAATGGTAATTATTAGAGGCGATGGGTATGAACTTGATTTAGTCATATCAAATTGGATGCATACATTAAAGCATAACTCTATACGCCATAAATGTAAGTGATTATAATCTGTCAATATTCAATATTATATACACATATATGTAATTATATAAAGATACCTATAATATATAGAAAATGCATCTACTGAGACTGAATGAACCTTTATTTAAACTGGAAGCTGTAAAATTGATCAATATAAATATATATAATGTTATATAAAGGTTATAGTGGGCCTATTGGGTCTTCTAATAACAACCTCTATATTTCTCCCCACTAAATAATGAGTATTAATCAGAGTGCCTAATGGAATAATTTTAGTCCAATCAATTATTTTCTTCAGCATCTAATTTTCTCATATTCCATAATGTCTTGTTTTCATGCATAACATTTTTTTCCTTCATGACCATTATGCTAAATTTTAGTTATTTTATGTGCACTTGTTCCAAGCACATTTTCTTAAATATCTGTTCCTTATCTATTGATTTCTATGGAAATTTTTATTTTCCTCCAAAATGGCATCTGGGAGTTCATATGATTGGACTATTTTTATCCTTATTGCTGTTTGTCTTCATTTGTCTTTTTCTCTGATCACTATTATACACACACACACACACACACACACACACATACATACATATATAAATATATATGTGCATATATATTTCCCAGTATTTAATACATTTAATATCCCTTAGTGGATAGGGATGACAACTTACAAATTTAAATACTTTTTTTTATAAAAGAGTCATTTTTTTCTATTGAATTTAAGCTAAAACGTGATCCCTCAGTTCTGTAGGCCATTGCACTTTCAATATAGCATTATTAAATCCAAATCATTACATAGCAATAAGCAAATAACTACACCCATAAGAAGAATGCCCATATAATTGAGCAAAAGAACACTTTGCCCTGGAGCCTGTGCTTTCAAGGGCTCCACTATGGTCCTCTCTCTGGCCACATTCCTCCCCAAAGTACAAGGAGTTTACCTGGTCCAAGGGGATGAGGTTAGTTGGAGGTGATGCTGCTCACCCCCACCTACCACCTTTTAGATCATGCTGTAGAACATAAAGACTTAGAATTCTGTCTTCAAAGGGTTTTGAGACTGCTTCCAGCGTCCATGTTCCTCTCCACCAGTTCTGTCTTTCATGGTGAACCACGTATACAGAGTGCACAACTAGAGGCCCTGTGGGCCAATGGGAAGCTTTTTGCTAGAGCTACAGTGGTAGACTGAGTTTCAACATATCAACAGAGGTACCCAAAACGTATACACAGAAGGCCTCTCATGGTATGAGACCAGGTCAGGGCACCGGCTCTCTCTATGTCGTCATATTCTATGCTGGATGTTGACGGCCCAAGAATTCTAGTTCCAAACCTGAATTTCATTGAGAAGGTATATGTGTCAAAGTGAGAGAACACAGCATACTTTATTTAACAGTTTGTTAACTTGATTTATAACTTTTAAATATGCAAACATACACTATATAGGTTTTGATTATTATTCTTGCCCTAGGCCTTAAGAATGTTAAGTTTAAGACAACTGAATATTTTATTAGATATAAGAATGCAACCACATATACTCAAAAACATAAATGTCAAACTAGTAGTCCCTACTTCTAAAATATAATGAAATATTCCATTTAACATTATATTTAGAGTGGATCCCTTATGGAATCATGACATCTTTGCTGATTTAGTTACAGTTGAACTAAGTATTTTGCCTGAAATCAACACTTTATTTTTCAAAACTCCCAAGATATAGTGTGTGACAGATATGTCTTCCACTTATTTTTTTAACCTAGGCTTTATTAATAAGACAAATTATTAGTCACAAATAAAACCTTAAAAATACAGTTCAGCCTTATTTACAACTATTTAGTTACCTAAAATATCCTACATTATACACACACAGGCGCACACACACATATTTCTAATAGAAACTATAAGAAGCAGCCTCGACAAATCAAGAGGACATTATGTTACGTAAAATAAGGTAAGAACAGAAAGTTAAACACTGCATGTTCTCACTCATATGTGGAAACTAAAAAAAAGTTGATCTCAGAGGAGGAAAAAGTAGAATGGAATATACTAGAGACAGGGAAGGGTGGGATGAGAGAAGGATAAAGAAAGATTTGTCAAGGGATACAAAATTAAAGCTAGAGACAAATAAGTTCTAGTGTTCTATAGCATTGTGGGATGACCGTAGTTGACAATAATATATAGTTTCAAATTGCTAGAAGGGGTAAACTGAATGTTCCCATCACAAAGAAATAATAAATTTTGACATGATGGATATGTGAATTACACGAATCTGTTAACTATTCATTGTATGTATCGAAATATCACTACATACCCCATAAATATGTACAATTATCACGTCAATTTAAAAAATATAATAATTAAGAAAAAATACAAAACATTAAATAACGGTGATAGTAGATTTGCCCTCTCAAATATTAAAACATTTGATAAATTTACATAGTTAAAATAGAGGGTAAATATAGAAAAATAATAAAAATTGTGATGAAATCTTGGTGATAACTTGACAGTGCTACTTTGAATATTAAGAATAGTGTAGCTGGCTGGGTGCAGTGGCTCATGCCTGTAATCCCAGCACTTTGGGAGGCTGAGGTGGGTGGATCACCTGAGGTCGGGAGTTTAAGACCAGCCTGACCAACATGGAGAAACCTGTCTCTACTAAAAATACAAAATTAGTTGGGCGTGTTGACAGATGCCTGTAATCCAAGCTACTTGAGAGGCTGAGGCAGGACAATCACTTGAACCCAGGAGGCGGAGGTTACGGTGAGCTGAGATTGTGCCACTGCACTCCAGCCTGGGCAACAGAGGGAGACTCCATTTCAACAACAACAACAACAACAACAACAACAACAAAATATATATATATATATATATATATATAGTGTAGCAGAACCAAAATTTAACAGGTGCAAACCTTTAAATAAGTGTATCCTCTCTAAATGATTTGAACTTGCTTATGGATAATCAAGGTCATAATGTTTGGGACATAAATGCCTGCATACTTATACCAAAATATATCAGCAGTTACAACTAAAATGATCTTACATATTATTTGTCATATCAGGACTATTACTATTATTATAATTACTATTTTTATTATGCTGAAGGTATATGATAAATTTTGAGATGTGATTGATGGATGCTTAGGTTTGAAGAAGCAAAATTAGAGAAAGAGCTTAAAGGTGTCTCTGATATCTTCCTTTCTCCCTGGATATGGGCTCTGTAACTACTACATTCAAATATAATCTGGAATATCTAAGGTGCTTTCTTCACAATCTTCCACAAGGGACTGAGAATCATAATGAGACACATTAATGAAGCCTAGTTATCATCTGATAATACTGTCATTAACATTTATTATCACATAATTAGATTGTGCATTAGCCATTTCTCAGAGCCACTTTAAAAGAAAAAAAAAATACGAGGACATATATGAGAACAAACACTGTAAGGAGTGCCTGTATAGTGATAATGTTTCAGAGTGAATGAGACATTTTATCACCTGGCATATTAACAGTGTGAAAGGACAGGGATCATATCAACCTCTCCCCTTCTTCTCTCTATCCTTTACATATTAGT
This sequence comes from Homo sapiens, assembly GCF_000001405.40. NCBI lineage: Eukaryota > Metazoa > Chordata > Mammalia > Primates > Hominidae > Homo > Homo sapiens. The sequence continues at coordinate 365,020 of NW_025791780.1, forward strand.
TACTTGTTAAATCTTCTACCTTCTCAAACTGGAGCAATTATCTTAGCAATGACAGTTTTAGTGATGGGAGCAAATCATAATAGCTGTGGGTAATTGTTAGAAAGAAATGACTATAAATCATGCTGCTATAAAGACACATGCACACGTATGTTTATTGCGGCATTATTCACAATAGCAAAGACTTGGAACCAACCCACATGTCCAACAGTGATAGACTGGATTAAGAAAATGTGGCACATATACACCATGGAATACTATGCAGCCATAAAAAATGATGAGTTCATGTCCTTTGTAAGGACATGGATGAAATTGGAAATCATCATTCTCAGTAAACTATCGCAAGAACAAAAAACCAAACACCGCATATTCTCACTCATAGGTGGGAACTGAACAATGAGATCACATGGACACAGGAAGGGGAATATCACACTCTGGGGACTGTGGTGGGGTGGGGGGAGGGGGGAGGGATAGCATTGGGAGATATACCTAATGCTAGATGACGAGTTAGTGGGTGCAGCGCACCAGCATGGCACATGTATACATATGTAACTAACCTGCACAATGTGCACATGTACCCTAAAACTTAAAGTATAATACAAAAATACAAAAAAAAAAAAAACACAGCTCTGAACTTTATAGGTCATGATATCTCTGTAGCTTGTGGGTTTAGCTGCATTTTGAAAAAGATAACTGTGTCTCCCTTAGCATCTTCCTTTTTCCTATTTTTTCTTGTAAGTTTACAAAGGTCAGATGCCAGTATGATCTAGAATAAGAGGTTTTGTGGCTGACTTTGAAAGGTTACTTTAGAGAAAAATCTCATGAAGCAGCAGTACTCCAAAGTGCTGCGGGGAATGTGGCTAAAATCTTGTTACATCCTAATGGAGCTTCTAACACATTAGACATATAGAGCATCAGATTCCAGAATGTGTCTGAGGGATTTAGTCTCTAGTTACTAAAAGGAAACGAAGAGGCATCTCAAGGTTAGAGTTACACTGACGAGGTCATGTTCATGGGACATCAAAGCAACGTGGAAATCAATTCTATCATCATAGCAAAGCCTGAAGTGCCTGTTTAATGATTAATTAGAATAATAATTGAAATGCAACATAATTATGATAAACAAGGAAATGCCAGAGGCTTCTTTTCTCTATGGACTACAATACCATAGTGAATTGGGCCTTTCAAAATCCAGAAACTTTTTATTGGCTGTTTGTTTCACGAAAGCAGAAATACTCCAGGATGTGTTTTCAGTAATTAAGGTAATCTTTATAATACATATTTTACTTTAGCCCAGCTGACTATCCAAATGAGTGAGTGTTTGGTGACTAATGTAAATATCTGTATGAACCAATTCCAGATATTTTAGCTGTGAATGACTCCATGATAATTATAATAGAAGCAAAATGAGTGTTCCTCATTTTAATGTGACCTAATAACACCATATCATTTAAGACAATATTTATTTTTTAGTATAATATGAACTGGTCCTAATTCTGAGGTATGCTCATACCTTAGAGTATCAACACTAGAGAGTTATTACAATTAATGACTGGCTTTCTATTGTGTTACAGCCAGTTAAATTTTTTTTTTCAAAATTCTCTTCTGCAAGTCATTTCTGAGGTCTTCTTGCAAACCATTTGCACAGTCATAACATCTATACAAGTATTTGCTTATTACCTTGGCCAGAAAAATCTCTTTTCAAGGCTGCTTCACAGGGTTTCTTGAGTATGCATGAGTCAACACACATGTTCATAGAGGAGAAGATTGTGCTGATTTGCTCTACACCAACGTTCTGTTAAAGGTGGAACCAAGTCACTTCTGTCACTGATCAGAGCACCGCTTATAACCAAATAAAATAAAAATAAAAAATTTAAAATACTTAGCCTAGACCTGACTGCAATATCTAACAAAACTTTCCTGGAGGCTTAAGTATTAAGCGAAGTACAATACAGAAAGTGACTTCCTTGAAGAGATCCTTCACATCCCTTGTAAGTTGGATTCCTAGGTATTTTACTCTCTTCGTAGCAATTGTGAATGGGAGTTCACTCATGATTTGGCTCTCTGTCTGTTATTGGTGTATAGGAATGCTTGTGATATTTGCATATTGATTTTGTATCCTGAGACTTTGCTGAAGTTGCTTATCAACTTAAGGAGATTTTGGGCTGAGACGATGAGGTTTTCTAAATATACAACCATGTCATCTGCAAACAGGGACAATTTGCTTCCTCTTTTCCTAATTGAATACCCTTTATTTCTTTCTCTTGCCTGATTGCCCTGGCCAGAACTTCCAACACTATGTTAAATAGGAGTGGTGAGAGAGGGCATCCTTGTCTTGTGCCGGTTTTCAAAGGGAATGCTTCCAGTTTTTGCCCATTCAGTGTGATATTGGCTGTGGGTTTGTCACAAATAGCTCTTACTATTTTGAGTTACATTCTATCAATAACCTAGTTTATTGAAAGTTTTTAGCATGAAGGGCTATTGAATTTTATTGAAGGCCTTTTCCGCATCTATTGAGATAATCGTGGTTTTTGTCATTGGTTCTGTTTATGTGATGGATTATGTTTATTGATTTGTGTATGTTGAACCAGCCTTGCATCCCAGGGATGAAGTCGATCTTATTGTGGTGGATAAGCTTTTTGATGTGCTGCTGGATTCAGTTTGCCAGTATTTTATTGAGGATTTTTGCACTGATGTTCATCAGGGATATTGGTCTAAAATTCTCTTTTTTTTTGTTGCATCTCTGCCAGGCTTTGGTATCAGGATGAGGTTGGCCTCATAAAATGAGCTAGGGAGGAGTCCCTCTTTTTCTATTGATTGGAATAGTTTCAGAAGGAATGGTAACAGCTCCTCTTTGTACCTCTGGTAGAATTCAGTTGTGAATCTGTCTGGTCCTGGACTTTTTTTGGTTGGTAGGCTCAAAATACCAATGACTTTCTTCACAGGATTGGAAAAAACTACTTTAAAGTTCATATGAAACCAAAAAGGAGCCTGCATTGCCAAGACAATCCTAAGCAAAAACAAAACAAAACAAACAAACAAAAAACAAAGCTGGAGGCATCATGCTACCCAACTTTAAACTATACTACAAGGCTGCGGTAAACAAAACAGCATGGTACTGGTTCCAAAACAGAGATATAGATCAATGGAACAGAACAGAGCCCTCAGAAATCATACTACACATCTACAACCATCTGATCTTTGACAAACCTGACAAAAACAAGAAATAGGGAAAGGATTCCCTATTTAATAAATGGTGCTGGGAAAACTAGCAACCCATGTGTAGAAAGCTGAAACTGGATCCCTTCCTTACACCTTATACAAAAATTAATTCAAGATGGATTAAAGACTTAAATCTTAGACCTAAAACCATAAAAACCCTAGAAGAAAACCTAGGCAATACCATTCAGGACATAGGCATGGGCAAGGACTTCATGACTAAAACACCAAAAGCAATGGCAACAAAAGCCAAAATTGACAAATGGGATCTAATTAAACTAAAGAGCTTCTGCATGGCAAAAGAAACTACCTGTTCTGTAGAACAGGTAACCTACAGAATGGGAGAACATTTTTGCAATCTACCCATCTGAAAAAAGGCTAATATACAGAATCTACAATGAACACAAACCAATTTACAAGAAAAAAAACAAACAACCCCATCCAAAAGTGGGCAAAGGAAACGAACAGACACTTCTCAAAAGAAGACATTTATGCAGCCAACAGACACATGAAAAAATGCTCATCGTCACTAGTCATCAGAGAAATGCAAATCAAAACCACAATGAGATACCATCTCACACCAGTTAGAATGGAAATCATTAATAAGTCAGGAAACAACAGATGCTGGAAAGGATGTGGAGAAATAGGAACAATTTTACACTGTTGGTGGGAGTGTAAATTAGTTCAACCATGTGGAAGAGAGTGTGGCAATGCCTCAAGAATCTAGAACTAGAAATACCATTTGACTCAGCAATCACATTACTGGGTATATACTCAAAAGATTATAAATCATGCTACTATAAAGACACGTGCACACATACGTTTACTGCAACACTATTCATAATAGCAAAGACTTGGAACCAACCCAGATGTCCATCAATGATAGACTGGATTAAGAAAATGTGGCACATAGCATGGAATACTATGCAGCCATAAAAAAGGATGAGTTCATGTCCTTTGCAGGGACATGGATGAAGCTGGAAGCCATGATTCTCAGCAAAGTATCACAAGGACAGAAAACCAAACACTGCATGTTCTCTCATAGGTGGGAATTGAACAAGGAGATCACTTGGACACAGGGTGGGTAACATCATAAACCAGGTCCTGTTGGGGGTGGGGGCCTGGGGGAGGGATAGCATTAGGAGAAATACCCAATGTAAATGACGAGTTGATGGGTGCAGCAAACCAACACGGCACAGGTTATACCTATTTATCAAACTTCCACGTTGTGCACATGTACCCTAGAACTTAAAGTATAATTAAAAAAAAAAAAAGTGACTTCCCCTAGTAACAAAGGTGATTACTTTCAGGGCCCAAAGGTCCAAGACAAATATCAGGATCCCTGAAAGTTTTCATATGTTCAAGGTCTACTTAATCACAATCTATCAAAATTTTCTGGTTTTATTTTAACTTTAATGCCTTAGTTCACCACATTCTTCATTTCTACGTCCTGATTCCAAAAGCTTCAACAGTCATGAAAATGTCGTCTTCCTTCAAATTCAAGGATTGTTACCACTCAAAAGTTAGACACAGCACACATATCCATTTATTTATGTGTGAAGTCCTCTCTCCTATCTGCTGTGGATCATTCAATCTCCAGGTCTCCCAGAGAATATCACAGTATTTTTTCAAAGTCTGAAATAATTCATCACAAAATACAAAACACTGTATGTGGGCAACCAGCAGTCTAGTCTAACTCCATTTGAAAACTTCAAATGATTTTCTAAGTCTCTGAAAGACAATCCTCTTAAAAGTATACTAAAATTCATGTGTTCAGATATACAGTGACTTTATGACTTTTGTTTTCACATGCACACACATATGAGTGCTCTCATACAGGAATAAGTAAATTAATTTACATTTGTATAAACATAGTACTGTTCTGCTGGTTTTCTATTAAGTAAAGGAAGACTCCTAATAGAATGGATGCTTTCTTTGCTAGAAAAAGAATTCATGTGATATTGGCTGATTTGTGTTCCCCCCAATTCATATATTGAATCCCTAAATCTGAGTACCACAGAATGCAACCCATTTGGAGACAAGATATTTAAAGAAGGAATTAAGCAAAAATTAGGTCAATAAGATGAGTTCTAATCCAATATATCTGGTGTCCTTTTAAAAAGAGATTAAGACAGACAGAGACACCAGACAAATGCACACACTAAGAGACAATCATGTGAACACACAGCAAGAAGGCAGCCATCTGCAAGCCAAGGAGAGGCCTCAGCAAAAACCAAACCCGCTGACACCTTGATGTCAGATTTCCCAACTCCAGAACTGTGGGAAAATACATTGCTGTTGTTTAAGCCATCCAGTCTCTTGTATTTTGTTGTGGCAGCCCTGGTAAAATAATATGTGGTGCTTAATAGATTTTGAATTAAAATTATCTTAACAAGCATAGTAATACTAACGTGAACATTATTTTTTTTTCCACCTGGTACCTATTACCTTATGTACAGATAATAATATATATAACATATAAAATAATTACTCCATAAATTACAGAAAAATATCACTATCATTGACTCATGTACTTTAACATACGAGTGACTATATTGTAACTTTTTCTTATAGCTTAGATAGAAACTTGAAACCTAGAAAGGTTTGAGTATTTGTTTTTTTTTAATTTAAATTTAATTGACTTTCTGAAGTTCAAAGTGATGCTTTATATATGACATAATTAATCTCTCATTTGAATTCTATGATGTTGGCAGGGACAATTTTACTTTTCCCATCATGAATTTTTTTGGTGTGAATTTAAAATAAATAAAATCACCAAAAGAAAAACTGAGAAAAAATTACCTACACAGCTGAATCTTTGAGGTACACTAATCAATTTCATTTTATTTTATAGAGTGCCTTTTGTATTGAATAGTCACATTACATAATTTTTGAAAAAAATACTTTTTTTGAGCACTTCCTGTGTATAAAGTCTTATGCTAGTTACAACACAAGCATCATTGTTTTAAGCATCACAACACACGCATCATACCTGTGTCTTCCTAATTTACAGACAAAAGGTTCAGAAAATTAAATAATTTGCCTAAGATTGCAAAACTAGTAATCAACAAAACCAATGTTAGGGATTATTCAAATTCTAAACCAAGGCTTCTAAGTGTCACGCAATATTTTTAAGAAGGGTTAGCCTGAAGGAGGATTCCCAAATGATGAAGCTTAGACATATTGTATGTATCTAAGTATGTTTGTATATACATATTGTACACATTTCTATATATGAAGGTATTCATAATATATAAGCATACGTATACATATATTTGAATGTAAATATGTGTGTATATATACACATATGCATACATATATGTGTGCTTATATATACTTACACATACACACACGGACTTATTTTTCTATGTAATCATGATACATTTTGGAGAAGTGTGGTAAGTTAAAAGTAAAATATTATAGAATATTAAAAAATAATTAAAAGTAAATTTAAGTATTTTACCCAATTTCTTTAAGCACATTAAAGTATACTTCATAAAAAACATAGCAAAATTTCATCACCCTATCCTCTCCTCTCAAAATTAGTAGAATCCCTAAATTACTCTTGAGATCTTCATAGATAGAGTAGGAAATAATGAACTTAACCACTTTAACCAATTAAAAGGAAAAATACAATCAATTCAACTATCATAGAAAATATCCTTTGATAAAGTTCTATACAGATCTTGGTATAAAATGTTTGGATTACTAGAAACAATATATATATTTTTTTACTTGACAAACTGCATCAACTAAAACTTAACATTGCTTCAGAAATAAAATGATAGAACTAATCTCATTAAGTTAAAGAGTACAATAAACTGACCTAGAATCACTATTTCTCTCTGCATCATCTAGGAGATCCTAGGCACCCAAAATTAAAAGAAATTAGCAAGATCTGATTATCCAGTGATGTATTAGAGTCTGTTGAAATGGGTTAACATTAATAAATGAAAAGAATATGTTTATCTGAAGTACCGTCTTATTTCTGGTCAGAAAATGAGCAAATCACGTAGGTGCTTACACTTGCTAAATTGGACACCACAGACCAAAGCTGGAACATAAATCTAGTAGAACAAAATGTCAATATTCATTATTGGTTATAGCTTAATATAGAAGTACAGACACCCACTGATTTTACTCTCTGCACCAGCACATCCTCAACAAAGAATTCAGGGCACACTGTCACATTGGAGGATATAGCCATTGAAGTTGTGAGCAATACCTATGACTCAGCGGAGAGTTGAAGATTTGAGGAGCTTTCTTTTGGGAGAACCAGAGCTATATGAAATGAAAGGAGAAATAAAAATGTCACTGCAGAAGGAAGAATTAGAATCTTTATTCTAGGATTGGCAGACTGTATCAGTAATTCATGAATATTGTTTGGGAGATGTGTGTGCTTCCAGTCTGAGCCAGCTGGGAAATCATCTGGGTTTTTCTAAAGAATACTGTCCCATTGTCCTCAGAGTGAATCATGAGGACTCTGAGTTCTTAGAGAGGAAAGGAGATTAAACAGCATTAGGATGACATAAATTTTGTTTGAGAATATAGAAATATTATTAATTCCAAAGTTATTAACACTGTCCAATACATTAAGAATAAAACTTGTTCAATATGATAAATTATTGATAAATATTCGTATGAGAAATAAGTCAGACAACTAGAGATAATATATGTAGGTTGTTGTTTGTTGGTCAAAATTGTGAACACTTGTTAGGATGGATAGCTTTATTTGGTGTTCTCAGGACATCCCTATGGGGATTAGAAAGTCTACATTTTGAAGAGGTGGTAAAATTAAAAAAATTCTTCTTTCATGATAGATTTCTCATCTGCAGGGTATTAGCGAACGTGCTTTAGATTGGAAAGATGATACACACATGCATACACACACATGCTTTCAACTTCACAGACTCAAATGATTTCACAAACTGAAAATTTGTAGTACTCTAATAATGTTTTAGGAAAACTGCATTCTAAAGAAAACAAAACAAATAAATCAATATGTTGCTTGGGTCATAATTACAATGCTTGTCAATTATAAATTCCTGACCTCCATAAATGTCCATTTTTGGTTAATGGACATAGACTCATAAAGGAATTATGTCACTTGTGTGCTGACTTGCTAGGACTGGCATGACAAAGTATCACAAAGTGAGTGGATTTAATAACAGAAATTTATTGTCTTTTAGTTCTAGAGGATAGAAGTCTAAGATGAATGTGTTGGCAGGGTTGGCTCCTTCTTCTGCTTTTTTTTTTTTTTTTTTAATTGAGTCTCACTCTGTCACCCAGGCTGGAGTGCAGTGGCGCGATCTTGGCTCACTGCAACCTTTGCCTCCCAGGTTTAAGCGATTCTCCTGCCTCAGCCTCCCGAGTAGCTGGGACTTCAGGCGCCTGCCACCAGGCCCGGCTAATTTTTTGTGTTTTTAATAAAGACGGGGTTTCACCGTGTTAGCCTGGATAGTCTCGATCTCCTGACCTCGTGATCTGTCTGCCTCAGCCTCCCAAAGTGCCAGGATTACAGGAGTGAGCCACCGCCCCGGGCCTGGGGTTGGCTCCTTCTAAGGGCTGTGAGGAAGAATCTGTTTCATGCTTTTCCCATTGTTTCTAGTGGTTTTCTGGCAATCTTTGCTGTTTCTCCACATCTTTGCCAACACTTGTGTTATCTCTTATCTTTTTTGATAGTAGCCATCATCTCGGGTATGAAGTGTTATCTCATTGTGGTTTTGATTTGCATTACCCTGATGATGAGTCAGACAAAAAAAGACTAATATTGCAGAATCTCATTTATATGTGGAATCTTAAAAAGTTAAACTTATAGAAGTAGACAGCAGAATGGTGGTTACTAGGGGCATGGACATATAAAAAAGAGGGTGGTGTCAGTCAAATGGTATAAATTGCAGTTATAACACCAAAAGCTCAGAGTGTCTGGGTGCTTTCTTGCATCTGAGTACTTTCCTGGTGGCCTGAGAGCATTTCAGATCTCCTAGTGTACCCAGAAGCCAACCCAAGGATCTGGAGAATGGAACCACAAGCCAGTCCTGTTGTCCCAGGAATTCAGCATGCAGCTTGGGAGTGCCGAGCCAAGATCTGTGGCCATTACTCAAGCAGGGGAGGAGCCTACACTCAGAATAGGTGGGGATTGATGGGGTGGCACAGGAAATAGTTATGTCCCCCTTGACCGGGCCAGTTCAAAAAGTGTGTGGCTTATCCCCATAATACAGCATCTGCCCAAAGGAGCCCCACAGTCCAGAACATCTAATAAAAGAAACAGAGGCAGCTGGGCGCACTGGCTCATGCCTGTAATCCCAGCACTTTGGGAGGCCGAGGTGGGCAGATCACCTGAGGTCAGGAGTTCGATACCAGCCTAGCCAACATGTGAAACCCTGTCTCTACTAAAACCACAAAAAATTAGCTGAGCGTAGTGGTGCGCGCCTGTAGTTCCAGCTACTTGGGAGGCTGAGGCAGGAGAATCGCTTGAACCCGGGAGGCAGAGGTTGCAGTGAGCCGAGATTGTGCCACTGCACTCTAGCCTGGGTGACAGAGTGAGACTTCATCTCAAAAAAAAAAAAGGAAAGAAAAGACACAGAGGCACAGTGCCAATGATGAGAGGAGCTCCCCCAAGGACCAGAAGTTGACCTGCTGAGGGGGTCACTTCTCTCCCTCTCACACTGTGGAGCATGGCTGCAAATGCAAGAAAAGACAAAGGAGCTGTGTGACTGAGTAAAGAGCCTATCTACTGTCATTACTCTTATGTCTCTTATGTGTCATTTAGTGGATCACAGCCCAAACTAAAACATCAAATATCTTTTGCTAATATACTTCCCCGTGAAACCAAGAGCAAGAACTCAGTCACAAATAAAGACCTTGTACGGAGGTCTGGCCCTCTGAAAACACCCAAAAAGAAAAGCCAACTGACCGTACTCAACTTAGTCACCTTTAAAAGAACACCAGCCCTCTCAGAGGAGAAAGAATCAGCACAAGTACTCTGGCAATTTAAAAAGCCAGAGTGTGTACTTACTTCCAAAGGAGTCCACTAGCTCCCCGGTAATGGTTCTTAACCAGTCTGAAATGACTGAGATGACGGACGTAGAATTCAGAATTTGTATAGCAAGAAAGCACATCAAGACTTAGGATAAAATTAAAACCCAATCCAAGGAATGCAAGGAATATAGTAAAATGATGGAAGGACTGAAAGATTAGTAACTTTTAAAAGAAAGAACCACACTGAAATTCTAGAGCTCAAAAACTCACTACAAGATATATAATCGGAAGTATTAACAGCAAAATGGACCAAGGTGAGGAAAGAATCTCAGAGCTCAGTAACTGGTCCTTTAAACCAGGCTTAATTAGACAAAAAATAAATACAAAGTAAGTTTAAAATGAACAAAACCTTAGAGAAATATGGGATTCTATAAGGAGATCAAATATATGACTCATTGCAATTCCTGGGAGAAAAGGAGAAAGAATGAAAGACTTGTAAAATACACTTGAGGACACAGGCCATGAAAATTTTCTTAATCTTGCTAGTGAAATTGACTTGCAAATTCAAGAAATAGAGAGCATTCTGGCCAGATGCTGTAAAAGTCAACCATCCCCAAGGCTCAAAATTAGATTCACCAAGGTCAACACAGAAGGAAAAATCTTAAAGGCTGCCAGAAAGAAGAGTCAGGTCATATATATTATATACAGACAGAACCCCATCAGGCTGGCAATGGACCTCTCAGTAGAAGTTTTACAAACCAGAAGAGATTGGGCTTAGTTTCAGCAACTTAAAAAAAGGAAATGCCAATGAAGACTTTCATATCCCACCAAACTAAACTTCATCAATGGAGAAATAAAATTCTTCTCAGAAAAGCAAATACTGAGGAAATTTGTTTCCATTAGACCAGCCTTACAAGAGGGCGTTAAGGAAATGCTGAACGTGAAATTGAAAAATGACACCTGCTACTGCAAAAACACACTTAAGCACATAGCCCGCAGACACTGTAAAGCAACTACATGTTCAAGTCTACATCACACTTAGCTAACATGATGAAAGGATCAAAATCTCACATATCAATACTAACCTTGAGTTTAAATGGATTAAACACCCCACTTAAAAGACACAGAGTGGCAGGCAGGATAAAAAGACAAGAATTAACTGCCTTTTGTCTTCAAGAGACCTATAATGAAATCCACAAGCTCAAAGCAAAATGATAGAGAATGATCTACCAAGCAAAAGGACAACAACAAAAAAGAGCAAGAATCACTATTCTTGTATCAGATAAAACAGACTTAAAACCAATAATAATTAAGAAAGGCGTTATGTAATGATAAAGGATATAATCCAACAAGAAGACATAACTAACTGTCTTAAATATATATGCAACCAACATTGGAGCACCCAGATTGATAAAACAAGTTCCTCTTTATCTACCAAAAGACTTATTTAGCCACACATTCATAGTGGAAGACATCAACACCCCAGTGACAGCATTAGACAGATTATCAAAGCAGAACTCTAACAAAGAAACTTAACTTTGACACTTGACTTAAACTTGACACTAGACCAAATGTATCTAATAGGCATCCAAAGAACACTCCACCCAGCAACCACAGAATATACATTCTTCTGACCTTCACACAGAACATGTTCTAATATTGACCACATGGTCAGTCATAAAGCAAGTCTCAATAAATTCAAAGAATTAGATATCATACCAAGCACACTTTCAGAACAGAATGCAGTAAAAAAAAGAAGTGAATATCAATAAAATCTCTCAAAATTACACAAATACATTAAAATTAAACAATTTACTCCTGAATAACTAACTCTTCAGGGAACATCAAAATTAAGGCAGAAATAAAAAATTCATTGGAATTAATGAAAATAAGGACAAAACTTATCAAAATCTCTGGGATGTAGCTAAAGCAGTGGTAAGAGAAAAGCTTATAGCCCTAAACACCTTCATCAAGAAGTTAGAAAGATCTCAAATTATCAGTAAAAATAACTAGGCTCATGCCTGTAACCCCAGCACTTTGGGAGGCTGAGGCAGGTGGATCACGAGGTCAGGAGTTTGAAACCAGCCTGGCCAACATGGTGTAACCCTGTCTCTACTAAAAACACAAAAAATTAGCCAGGCGTGGTGATGCGTGCCTGTAATCCCAGCTACACAGGAGGCTGAGGCAGGAAAATTGCTTGAACCCGGGAGGCAGAAGTTGCAGTGAGCCAAGATTGTGCCACTGCACTCCAGCCTGGGCGACAGGGTGAAACTCCATCTCAAAAAATAAAATAAAATAAAATAAAAATAAACTAGAGAAGAACTATATGTAATTGAGGTTCAAAAATCCATACAAAAGATACATGAAACCAAGAGTTGGTTATTCAAACAAATAAGATTGATAGAGCACTATCTGAATTAACAACAACAGCACAAGAAGAAAATCCCATCAGAAATTAGAAAGAAAATATTACAAATGATTTTTCAGAAATACAAAACATCTCAGACTACTATGAACAACTCTGCACAAAAATTACAAAATCTGGAGACAATATATATATATTTCTGGAAACAGATAATACCTCAGAATTGAACTAGGAAAAAAATAAAATCCTGAATAGACCAATATCAAGTTCTGAAATTGTATCAGTAACAAAAAACCTACCAACCAAAAAAAGCCCTGGACCAGATGGATTTACAGTCAAATTCTCTCATATGTATAAAAAAGAACTGACATCAATCCTACTGAAACTATTCCAAAAAATTGAGGGAGACTCCTTCCTAACTAATTTTATGAAACAAGCATCAACCTGATACCACAATCTGGCAGAGACACAGTGAAAAAAAAAGTCAAAAACAAAACTTCCCGCCAGTATCCCTGATGAACATAGCCATAAAAATACTCAACAAAATACTAGCATACTGTATCCAGCAGCACATCAAAAAATTAATTCACCATGATCAAGAAGGTTTTATTCCTGTGATGCAAAGTTGTTTCAACCCATACAAATCTATAAATATGATTCACCACATAAACAGAATTAGACAGTAAAACCATATGATTATTTCAACAGATATAAAAAAAAGACTTTGATAAAATCCAACAGCCCTCCATGATAAAAAACTCTCAACAGAGTTGGCATCACAAAACATAGGTCAAAATAATAAAAGCCATCTATGGTAAACTCACAGCCAACATCATACCAAATAGGCCAAAGCTGGAGCCATTCCCCTTAAGAACTGCAAGACAAAGGTGCCCACTCTCACCACTCCTATTCAACATATACTAGAAGTTCTAGTCAGAGTAATAAAGTGAAAGAAAAAAATGAAAGGCATCCATATAGAAAAAGAAGATGACACTAATAAATGGAAAAGCATTACATGCTCATGGATAGGAAGAATCAATATCATAAAAATAGCCATAATGCCCAAAGCAATTTAAAGATTCGACACTATTCCTAGCAAACTACCAATGTCATATGGAACCTAAAAAGATCCTAAATAACCAGTGCAATTCTAAGTAAATAGAACAAATCCAGAGACATTGTACTACCAAAGTTCAAACTATACTGTAAGGCCACAGTCACAAAAATAGCATGATACTTGTACAAAAACACACATGTAGATCAATGGTACAGAACAAAAAACCAGGAAATAAAGACTCACACTCACAATCACCTGATCTTCAACAAGGTGGACAATAATAAGCAATTGGGATAGGACTACCTATTTAATAAGTAGTGCTGGGATAGTTGGCTAGTCACATACAGAAGAATGAATCTGGACCCCTAACTTTCACCGTATACAAAGCTAACTCAAGATCGATTAAAGCTTTTAAAATAAGTCCTCAAACTAAAATCCTAGAAGAAAACCTAGAAAATACCCTTCTTGATGTTGGCCATGGCCAACAATTTTTGGCTAAGTCCCCAAAAGCAATTTCAACAAAAACAGAAATTGACAGGTGTGATGTAAACTAAATTGCTTCTGCACAGAAAAATAAACTATTTACAAAGTAGACAACCTATAGAGTGGGAGAAAATATTCGCAAATATATACCAATCACCTTGTATCTGACAAAAGTCTGATATCCAGAATCTATAATGAACTTAAACAAATCAAGAAACAAAAAAAATCTCATTAATAAATAGGCAACAGACGTTAACAGACACTTCTGAATAGAAGACATACAAGTGGCTGAAAAGTTCAACATCACTAATCATCAAAGAAATGCAAATCTATACCACAATGAGATACTATCTCATGCCACTCACAATGGCTATTACTAAAAAGTAAAAAAAAAAAAAATAATAATAACAGATGCCAGCAAAGCTGTGGAGAATAGGGAATGCGTATACACTGTTGCTGGGTATATGAATTAGTTCAGCCACTGTGGAAAGTAGTTTGGAGATTTCTCAAAGAACTTATCATAGAGCTACAATTTGTCCCAGCAACCCTATCATTGCATATATGCCCAAAGGAAACATAGATCATTCTACCACATGGACACATGTACCTAAATGTTCATCATCATGCTGTTCACTACAGCAAAGACATGGAATCAACTGAGGTGCTCATTAGTGGTGGTGGATCGGGTAAAGAAAATGTGGTATAAATACATTATGGAGTACTACAGAGCCATAGAAAAAAGAACGAAATCAGGTCCTTTGCAGAAACATGGTTGCAGTTGGTGGTCATAATAATAAGCAAATTAGTGCAGGAACACAAAACCAAATATGGCATGTCCTCACTTATAAGTGGGAAATAAATACTGAGCACACATGGACATAAACATGGGAAAAACAGACACTGTGGACTACTAGATGGGGTAGAAAAAACGGGTGATGTGAACTGAAAAACTACCTATCATGTACTATGCGTACTACTTGGGTGATGTGATGCATACCCCAAACCTCAGCATCACACAACAGACTCGTGTAACAAACTTCCATATGTAACCTCATATCTAAACTAAAAGTTGAAATTTAAAACAAAAACAAAAGCAAAACAAAGCAAACTAACTAGGTGAGATTATAGATGTGTTAACTGACTTGATCGTTGTTATCATTTCACATAATATACACATACCAAATAATCAGATAGTATACATTAATCACACAATTTTTGAATTATACTTTATTAAACCTTCAAAATAAAAAAAAAGAAAATGTCATTTGGTATAAATAATGCAAGGTCTATCTATCTAATACCAATGAGAGTTGTTTCCTGTTAAGTACAGAGTTTTTGTGAATTATTATGGAATTTTTCCTGCATTTATTGTGAAGTAGTAGTAATCATCGGAAATTGAAATTTGTTAATATTTTTACTTTTGAATATATTTTGGAAATGGAAAGTATAACGAGTTTTTTTCTTTTTATAATTTATCACAATGTACTGAATCTGGGATGTACAAAATCAAATGTGTATTTATTTATTCAATCACTCAAATATGTTTGTAAAGCTTTCAAAATAGGCATTACTCCTTTTTTAATGACGATCACAATCTAGTGGGTAATACCCATTTATTTCCTGCTGTTAATTAGATTGATTAAATGTTACCCTGTGTCCTTGTCTCAAAATGCAAACTCTGTCTACGTCTTTAGTGGAAAATCTGTTAAAATGCTGAGAACTAGTTTTCAGTCAAGTCAGTCAGCCAATGGCTTACATCTTTAGAGGAAAATCTGTTAAAATGCTGAGAACTAGTTTTCAGTCAAGTCAGTCAGCCAATGGCTTACATCTTTAGAGGAAAATCTGTTAAAATGCTGAGAACTAGTTTTCAGTCAAATCAATTGAATAAATAAATACACATTTGAAATGACTTTGTGGGCATTAATAATTCACTTAATCTTTCTGCTTGGTACATTCTCACCTAGATCAGCGTTTCTCAGCCTTGGCTGCAAATTTGTATCATCTGGAAGTAGGACATGATAAAGAGAGAGAGAGCTAGGGATACAGATAGACAGATACAGATAGAGATACAGATAGAGAGATACAGATAGATATACAGATAGTGAACTATCTCTGGGCATGAACAATCTCTGGGCATCAGGTAGAGATAGAGACAGATAGAAAATGAGAACCATCTCTGGGCATGAACCTGAGTATCTAAACTATTAACAATCTTGCCAGCTTACTCTGATGGACAGTTGAGAACCACTGGTCTATGCATGAAGCAATGCTAATCAATTTAAATAAAAATCCCGTAAATATGTGTCTCCTAACACATCGCTATGGTCACATACTTCTTAATTATCATTTATGGCTGTTAGTGACCATTTTCACCTACCTACCACAGATATCATGAGAATAATTAAAATAGCTTGTGGAAGTACATTTAGGGGATTTCTTTAAAATTACAAAATAGAACTTGGCTATAATCATCAAGATTATGACTAAAAAGGAGAAAAGAAATGCAAATTATGTTTTGGTCCTATAATTGGCTGTGTAATAACAATGGATTGACTCTGCATGTACACAGCATAAAGGGACAGAAAATGAGAATCTTAAGCCTGTGTTATTTGACCGAGGCAGTTTCTAAGGAATAATGCACTTTATACACAGACATTACAATACTTCTCAAGGATAAATAACCTACAAGTAATCCTGATTCCAAACGATGTTGCCAAGTACCTTTTGACTTTCATATCAGCTCTGAAGTGACTAGTAAATTGGATTACCCCACTGGGCATATTTATAGCAGTATTTAATTTTAACTACGCAGAATGCACCTGTTTACTTAGACCTGATTTTAATATCAGAGTATCTGTGGAAGGCTTAATACAAATCCTTTTAAGAACTCTATTGACAGAATTTTCCAGCAGAAAAGTTAGTTTAAAAAAGTCAGAAGAGCAGGAACTACATCACTTTGCCTTGATTGGAAGAGACAAAGAGATTTTGAATTATTCTTAGGAAGATTTTTAAAAATCTAAAAATATTTGCTAAATATATGGAAGTGGTAGGTTTTCATTTAATCAACAAATTATTCAAGAAACTACAAATCTTGACTGTTGTTTTACATGAATATGGTACAGTAGGCTAATATATTAAACCATTATTATTAACAAATATGGCTCCTAAGTGACATTAAGAAGAGATAAAAGAAGGGATGAGCAAACCTGTGTACTAAAATACTTTTAAATATATGATAATAAAGTCAAACTAATTTAGCTTACTTTTTGCTTTTTGATATTGCAATAGACTTTTAATTTCTCTGACATTTGAATTCACGCACAAAGTCATCATGTCTCTCCATCCCCATGCTGTGATGTCTCGACTATACCATGAGGAGTTTGATTTCTCCAAAATTTTTAAAATTATTTATTTATTTAATTTTTGCAACAGAATCTCGCTCTGCCACCCAGCCTGGAGTGCAGTGGCATGATCTCGGCTCACTGTGGCCTCTGCTTCCCGGGTTCAAGAGATTCTCCTGCCTCTGCCTCCCGAGTGGCTGGGATTACAGGCGCCCACCACCAAGCCCAGGTAATTTGTGTATTTTTAGTAGAGATGGGGTTTCGCCATGTTAGCCAGGCTGGTCTCAAGCTCCTGACCTCAGGTGATCCCCCGCCTCCCAAAGTGCTCCCAAAGTGCTAGGATTACAGGCCTCCCAAAGTGCTGGGATTACAGGCATGAGCCACTATGCCCGGCTTCCAAATCTTATATAACAGTCTTTCATAAAAAATCTGAAGAATAAATTGTAGTATTTATACTGTGATTATTCTAATTGCTCTGTAATTTCAAATGCAGAAAAACTGGTCAGTTAATGCAGTAGCATGTCTAATACTATGTGGTTAACTAATTGCTCTCCCAACCAATATGTAATTATATTATGAGAAATAAATCTATATATTTATGGGAGTGACAGAAACCTAAATGGACATTTCACTATTTTATTTGCACAGTTAGAATTTGTGGAATTC